>NC_000022.11:33103503-33255018 GCF_000001405.40 Homo sapiens
TTAAAAGCAGAAGTGTTTCTCAGGTTGGTCACTGAGGAAGGAGTCAGAGATGTGCTCTTGCTGGGCTGGAAGAGGTAACAACCATGTTGCGAGCTGTCCATGGGGACCATGTGGCAAGGAATGTGGGTGTCCTATAGGAGGTAAGAGAAACCCCTGATAAGGAAACAGGGACCTCAGTCCTACAACCTCAAGGAGCTGACTTTGGCCAACAACTTTAATGACTTTGGAAGTTTATATGGTTTGGCTGTGTCCCCACCCAAATCTCATCATGAATTGTAGCTCCCATAATTCCCAAGTGTTGTGAGAGGAGATAATTGAATCATGGGGGTGGTTTCCCTTATACTGTTCTCGTGGTAGTGAATATGTCTCACGAGATCTGATGGTTTTATAAGGGGAAACCCCTTCCACTTGGCTATCACTTCTCTCTTGTCTGCCACCATGTAAGAAGTGCCTTTCACCTTCTGCCGTGATTGTGAGGCCTCCCCAGCCACATGGAACCGTGAGTCCATTAAACCTCTTTTTCTTTCTAAATGACCCAGTCTCAGGTATGTCTTTATCAGCAGAGTGAAAACAGACTAATACAGAAATGGATTTTTTTCCCCAGAGTATCCAAAAAGAAACACAGACTGGCTGACACCTTGATTTCAGCCTTGTGAGACCCTGCAAACAGAACCCAGCAATGCTGTTGCTGGACCTCTGACCTACATACCACTGTGAGCTAATAAGTGGGAGTTGCTTTGGACCTCTAAGTTTGCCATTATTTGTTACCTAGCAATAGAAAATCAACACAGAGCAAGAGTAAAGACAGATAGGATAAGACAGCTCATACATGAATGATTTCTGTTTCTGTTGGAGATGAAAGTATTACTAGTCACACAGAGAAAGGGCTAGGGGCTAAATGAGCTGCACTGATGGTAAATGCTGATAGAGGCCTATGGAGGGGACCTTGTGGCCCAGGGCAGCAAGAAATGCTGCATTGGAGAGATGGGGTACATGCGAGTGACAATGGGAAGAGTTGGTAGCTGGAGAGAACTGGGAAAGCCTTCAGGTAAGGGGAGTGATTTAAGCACAACTGTGTGAGCAGAAATATGCAAGAGGTGCTATAGGAAGAGTAGGGAGGCTGCCACTGATCCCATCTATCTTCCCTGTCTGACTTGGCTGAGGCCATTCCAGACAATTCTCTGAATATGTTATGCATTTTCACATCTGCAGGCATTTGCAGAGACCTCTTCTTCTGCCTATAACAACTTTTCTGCCTTCCTCCCTTGTCTTTTCAAGACCCAGCCCAAGGCTCCTTCCCTACAGTTCCCAGTCTCAAAAAGGTGAATCTCGAGCCCGTTTTCATGGCTCATAAATAGAAGCTGGGACTTCAATAGACTTTCTCTCTCTTTCTTTCTTTCTTTCTTTCTTTCTTTCTTTCTTTCTTTCTTTCTTTCTTTCTTTCTCTTTCTCTCTTTCTCTCTTTCTTTCTTTCTTTTTCTTTTCTTTCTCTCTCTCTCTTTCTTTCTTTTTTTGATGAAGTCTTGCTCTGTCACCCAGGCTGGAGTGCAGTGGTACTATCTCCGCTCACCACAATCTCCGACTCCTGGGTTCAAGCGATTCTCCTGCCTCAGCCTCCCAAGTAGCTGGGATTACAGGTGTGTGCCACCAAGCCCCGCTATTTTTTTTTTGCATTTTTAGTAGAGACAGGGTTTTACCATGTTGGCCAGGCTGGTCTCGAACTCCTGACCTCATGACCCACCCGCCTCAGCCTCCCAAAGTGCTGGGATTACAGGCATGAGCCACCGCGCCTGGCCTCGACTTGTTCTTTCTACTATCCCACATTTAGTAAAGAAGGGAAAGAAACTCTTTCCCAGGTCAATAATCAACCTCAAATGTATCCTTTTGCTCTAATTCTCATTTCCAAATGGCAGGCTTTCTTACAGCGGGGCCCACCCGCCCAGGCTGGCCAGGCTGACAGCCCAATTCTGTAGGAGCCCTTGGCTGTGAATTTCTACAGTAGCTGAAACTGCGAGGAGCTTCCCGAGGCTCCCCGAGAGAACTGGAGGGCCCCAGGCTCTTCCCACGGCATCCTTGATCATGTTCTCGTTTCCTCCTCCAGAAACGTGGGGCTAAAATAAGCCCAGAAGCTGAGGAAGGGCTGAGTCAGACCCTCAGAGTGGAGCAATCACTGCACGGCTGCTCCTTGTAAGAAACATCCCGTTGCGCCTGAGTTGTTTATTGCCAGGAGCTGTAAGTGAAAAATGAGCTCTCTTAAGCCAGGCTGGGAGCAGGCTCCTCTTCCTGGAGATGGCACGATGCTTCACAGCTTGGAAACGTTCTGTGCCAGTATAAAAGGGGTGGCATACATCCCTCGGAGCAGGAAAGCCTGATGACAAAGGGGAAGGAGCCTGGGCTGGAAGCCAAGTGGCACTAGGGTTAGTCTCAACTTCATTGCTTACCAGATATGTCAAATGAATGATACCCTTACCTGCTGAGAGTCTACCTTTTCTCAGTTGCAAGATTAAAATGTAAGCCAGATGATGTCTGAGTTTCTTTCTGGCCCCGGCTTTCTTTTGGTTTGTCCAAGCAGCTCCGCAAACTCACTCTCAGGCCCTAAATGATGTGGGCTGTTAACGGTGGAGAAAGGAATTCCGACGTGGCCTATGGCAGCCGTTGCTTCATTGAGTCTGGTTCAGTCAGCACCCACTGATTGGGCACCTCTGCTGTCCAGGCATCTGGGAAATGGCTGGGGATACAGAGGTGAAGAAGACAGGGTTTCTTCAGGAACTCACTTTCCAGCAGGTGAGAGTATGAGTAGAAAAGGTGGACAAAACAAAAAGCTGCTTAACAACACAAACTCCTTTGCTAAGCCCTGAATGAATGATCCGGACAAGCTGCTCAGAATGAGGAACGGTTCACAAGAGTCCAGGTGGGAGTGGGCTTTAGCCGGAAATTCAATTCTGTTACCATTAGGTTGGTACAAAAGTAATTGCAGTTTTCGCCATTCCTTTTTTTTTTTTCTTTTTTTGAGACGGAATCTTGCTCTGTCGCCCAGGCTGGAGTGCAGTGGCACGATCTCGGTTCACTGCAACCTCTGCCTCCCAGGTTGAAGCGATTCTCCTGCCTCAGCCTCCGGAGTAGCTGGGATTACAGGCATGTGCCACCATGCCCAGCTAATTTTTGTATTATTAGTAGAAATGGGGTTTCACCATGTTGCCCAGGCTGGTCTTGAACTCCTGAAGTCAGGTGATCCACCCACCTCAGCCTCCCAAAGTGCTGGGATTACAGGCGTGAGCCACTGCGCCCAGCCACACCATTACTTTTAAATAGCAAAAACCGCAATTACTTTTGCACCAACCAAATAGATTTTTCCCATCTCAGTGAAGTTTTATTGAGAAAGAGGTCAGTAAGAAATGATTAGAGAGGTCAAAATTTACCTTCTTCAGATGATCTAACATTTTAATGTCCATGTAGTTTTTCCCAGACAGCAAGAATAATTCAGGGTTGGTTTTCATCCCAAAGTTTCCCCATACTTAAGAGAAAAACCATTCACACGCAGTGATGGGGGCCACTTAACTGAAAATACTTCTAATGCAAAAGAGTAAGAGACTAAATCATTACTGAAGAGTTCAGGTCCTATTTCAATGATACTCTCTCTCTCAGATTCACCACAGTCAGCACTTCCAAAATGTCTTTCAAACATTTAAAAAACATTTATTAATGACATTTGCATTTTAAGCCATAATTAAAACAAATGTTAAGATTTAATGACATATTTTAATATTTCCAAATATCACACTGCATGCAATGGCTCATGCCTGTAATCCCAGCCCTTTGGGAGGCCAAGGCAGGCAGATTGCTTGAACTCAGGAGTTTGGAAGCAGCCTGGGCAACATGGCAAAACCCCATCTCTACGAAAATTAGCTGGGAGTGGTGGCATGCACCTGTAATCCCAGCTACTTGCGGGGCTGAGGTAGGAGACTTGCTGGAGCCCAGGAGGTCGAGGCTGCAGAGATCCACGTTCGCACCACTGCACTCCAGCCTGGGTTACAGAGCGAGACTTTGTCTCAAAAAAAATCATTTAAAAAGCTACATTTAGTCAGGCGCAGTGGCTCATGCCTGTAATCCCAGCACTTTAGGAGACTGAAACTGGAAAATCACTTGAGGCTGGTAGTTTGAGACCAGCCTGGGAAACAAAGCAATATCCTGTCTCTACAAAAAATGTTTTAAAAATGAGCTGGGCACAGTGGCACATACCAGTTGACCTAGCTACTAGGGAGGCTGAGGAGCAAGGATCGCTTGAGCCCAGGAGGTTGAGGCTGCAGTGAGTTATGATTGTGCCACTGTACCCCACAGGAAGACCCTGTCTCTAAAATAAATAAATATTTTTAAAGGCTTTATTTAATTTTATGATTTTCTCATTGGGATTTTTTTTTTGCCATCAACTTTTTAGTTTGAAGCTTGAAAAATGAATTAAAATAAGCAAAATTTGAGACATCATGCATATAGAAAATGAATAAAACAAATGGAAGACTGAATAAAATGTACTATATTATATATTCATAAAGCAAACGCTATATAACCACCAATCAGGTTCTATGGATTCCCTCTTTTTTCATCTAAATTACATGTGTGCCGTTGTAACTATAACTGTAATGCAGCACATAAGGCACCTAGGATGCTTCCTGATATACACTCAGTACTCAGCGTGTACTCATCCTAATTGTGAGTCACTGATTCATTCAACAAACATTCACTGAGTTTATATTATATGCCAGCTTTGTATCAAGCACTGGAGAAAGAAAAATGGCTAAACATAGTGCTCCATCCCATCTCCACGAGGGAGACAGACACGTGCAACTGAAAGTGATTACAGCTCAAGTTAGTGGAGAGCTCTCCCCAGTGACCCCAGGGCATAGAAGAAGGAGTGGTTTTTCTGCAGAAGGAAAAGGAGTTTGCCCATGAGCACGGTGGGAAGAGAGCTGTTGTTCCATCACAAGTAATGACATGAACAGAGTCACAGAGACCTGGGTGAGCAGCCTCATCCCTGTGCACGGTGGGGCAGGAAGGATGGGGGTTGGGGGATGGATCAGGGAAAGCTGAAGTTTTTCTTTGGAAACAGGGGAACTAGTAGAATCCTGTAAGTACATCAACTCTATGGCGAAGATTTTTCTGACAATGGGGTGGAAGTTTTGAGCTTATGTGGAAACATCATTTACCTCCACATAGTAATAATAATAATTACTAATATTATTATTAGCAATTATACTACTGTTGCTGAGCCTCCTGAGCATTGCATATGTATTATGTCATTTATCACCACAAAAAGCCCCTGAGGTGTCTACTATTATTACTGAGAGGCAGTAGAATTTAATTATTATGAATGCATGCTCTGAAGCTAGATTATTTGTGTTAAGGTCCTGGCTCCACATTTAGGCAAGTAGCTTAATCTCCCCATGACCTAGTTTTCTTATCTTTATAATGAGGTAATAAAAGTGTCAAGCTGATGAGGTTGTGGAAAGGATTTAATAAAATTCTACCTGTGAAATGTTTAAAATAATGTCTGTCCAATACATTGTGTTCAATGAAGGTTGCCTTTTATTGACCCATTTCACAGAGGAGAAAACTGAGGCTTGGGGAGAGGAGGTCACATTTCAAAGGTCACCTGGCCAGTAATTTGAAGGTTCTGGATTCAAACCCAGGAAGTCTCAACACAGAGCCCCATCTCTCTACCATCTAACAAGCCAGGTTTGGTTGCTAAAGTTGGGGCTTTCTCTGGCAAACTTTTGACATGCTTAACTCTGTTTCAAGGACTTTCTTTTTTAAATTAAAAAAAAAAAAAGTTAACAGACAGGATCTGGCTCTGTTGTCCAGGCAGGAGTGCAGTGGCTATTTATAGGAATGATCATGGCACACTGCAGCCTGGAACTCCTGAGCTCAAGTGATCTTCCCGTCTCAGCCTCCTGACTAGCTGGGACTGCAGGCATGCACCACCATGCCTGATTCAAGGACCTTCTTAAGTCATCGCCTGCCAAAAGGTCCAGCCAGAAGGGGATGAGGAAATGTACCTTTATTTGCTTATTGCTACCTAAAGTTACCATTAATTAATTAATGGATTTTATCAAACATTTATTCACTTATGGATATAGTTTCAATGTTTGCCACCTCCAAATCTCATGTTGAAATGTGATCTCCAATGTTGGAGGTGGGGCCTAGTGGGAGTGGGAGATGTTTGAATTACGTGGGCAGATCTCTCAAGAATGACTTGGTGTCCTCCCTGCAATAATGAGTTCACTGGAGATCTGGTTGTTTAAAGGAGCCTGGCATCTCCTCCTCTCCTTCTTGCTCCCGCTCTTGCCATGTGACACCACCTGCTCCACCTGCATCTTCTGCCATAATTGTAAGATTCCTGAGGCCCTCACCAGAAGCAGATGCCAGCAGCATGCTTATTGCACAGTCTGTAGAACCGTGAGCCAAATAAATCTCTGTTCTCTGTAAATCACCCAGTCTCAGGGAATCCTTTACGGCAATGCAAAGTGAACTAACACGCTTACTCATCCCCTAAGTGTTCAGCATCAAATTTTGTCATTTCACATAAATTATCTCAGATACTGTCCACCACCAAAACTGTCTGACTATTCCCATTTTCTAAGTGGGGACATTGATGCTCAGAGGAGTTAAATAACCTGTTCAAGGCCAGACAATTGCTATTGACATTGCAATGTCTACCCCACACCATCTGCAGGGGTGGGGCCTGATTAATGTGAGCTAGTCACAGAAATCACATCTCCATTTCCAGTGGGAGAATTCAGGCCTAAGCCAATTAGTGCAGAGCATCCTGCCAGCTGTAGGGATTAGTTCAGAAATGAGCGTACGTTTTGAATAAAAAAGGTGCAAGGGGAAATTTTCTGGGGCTTCTGCAGATATTGTCCTCTCTCTCTGGAGAAAGCATCAGCAGGAGCCAGTTTGATCCTCTGACATTGCTGTGTGTGGATATGAGTTCTGGGGATACTGCAGCCACCTCACAAGAAGCTTGTGCGTGACACTGGTGCAGCGGTGGGAATGGCCAGGAGCATCACAGAGACCACTGGATAAAGCCAATCCTGAAGCTTCCTGCTATGTGGGCCAACAGATGTCCTTATTGTTCCAACGGTCTGAGTAAGAATTTCTGCACAGTTCGCACAGCGCGGAATTTGGTTCCAAGTCCAAGTCCAAACTGGGGCTACTCCCCAATCCGTGCCTTCCTACCATGCACGGCTGCAGACTTGGTTCTTCTAGTTGTTTACCATCTGGCAGGAGGTTTTTGGCATTCTGTTGTAGTGGCAGATTTGGTCATCAGTCACAATGCCAAGCTGATGGTGGTTTGAGTCATTGCTTTTCTGTTGGCCTATTTCTTTCATAATAAATATGTATCGCTTAGATAATAAAAACAACAAAGGGGAAAATTCCATGTGAGGCAGAGGTAAACAAAAAAGCTCTGCTTTTAGGAGGCTTATATAAAGATCAAGCTGTATGATGTGTGTTGAGCATGCTTTAAAGAATGCCAAACTGGGTGGGGCCCAAGACAGATAAAAGACACTAAGCCTTTTATCATACCACTAGGCACCAGTGACTTTTGAGACCTGGCAATTAATTAGGAGGAGCTGGTTGTAGTTATTATCAAACCTCCCTAATTTCCCCAAGTGAATGGGTGAGGGCTGGGTTGAGGAGAGATGGGGGAGAGGTGGTAAGAATCCTCTGAAGCCCATTTCTGGAACCTTGGTTTCTCAGGATCGCCGCTTCCTTGGTGGATTTCCTTTCTGCTCTCCTCCAAGTGTCCCTTGTGAGACTCTGACTCCGTAGGACTGGCCCCAGCTAACCCTTTGTTGCTAAGGATGTATCATCTTGCTGGGCTTTACCAAGGGCGTTAATAAAACAGCTTCTATGATTATAGCCACACAAAGGTAGGCAAGGAAAAGACCCTAATTTGGAAAGCAGAAACCCACTCTGCAGCTGGAGCCCAACTCCTGACCTTCCCACCCCCAAAGGCATAGGATAAGATTCCTTTCCCCTAGCTGATTGGATTAATTTCAGCCTCACTGACAATTCCCCCCGTCCAGACTCATTTATCTACTGTTGTTTTTAACCTCAAAAAACGTCATGGCAACAAAGATCAGAGGAAAGATCACAGTGTCGAGTCAGAGAGACATATGCATTTGCATCCCACCTCTGCCTCTTGCTAGAACTCTGATTTTGAGAAGGTTGCTTGAGGTCAGCTCCCTCATCTGTAGGGGGTTGTGATGAAATAAATGATGTAATAGAAACCTTATAAATGCATGAAATTACTGAGGAATTTATGTGCTTCTGGAGGAATTATGGGGCGGGGAAGCAAGAGAGATGCCTTTATTTTCTCCCAGGAATGACAGTGGAAAGCAAGGAAGAGTGTTACAACTGAGGGAACAGACAGTGGAAGGCCTGGGGACAAATAAAGTCCAATATAGCTGGAACGTAGAATATGGGAAATAAATGAAGGCTTGAGATCTGAGGGTTCAAAGCCATATAAGGACTTAGCACATTATCCCAAGAGAAGGGAGGAGCCATTGAAGGGTTTTAAGCAAGGGAATAGCTTGACATGTGTTTTTAAAACTTTACTGTGCCTGTGTAGAGAATAGTTTGCAGGGGGTCAAGGCTGGAGCTGGCAGCCCAGTTAGGAGGCTGATGAACTAGTCCAGAGGATGGGTGGTGGCCTGAGCCAGAAAGACAAAAGTGGGATCGAGAAAAGTGGATGGCTGTGCCACTTGCTATGGCTTCAAGGAAGTTACTTAACCTCACTTAAGTTACTTAACCTTCACTGAGTTAAGTCTCACATTTTTCCCCATTGTTTATGGAGGACAGTAATAGTATGTGCATCCTAGAGTTTTTAGGGGATTAAACGAGAGAATGCATATACAGCGCATAGCACAGCATCTGCCACATCGTATGCGCTGGCAAGATGGAAGCGACTATTACCATTGTTAGTAGTGGAAGTCATGTTGGCAAATATCACAGGGCGCATTCGGGGCATGCTGCTTAAATGAATGAAATAAGTGAATAGACAGTGAGTGCCAGAAAAGGCCCTTTTCAAGACTGAAATCTTGTTTAAAAGGTATAAATAGTCCTGGTGAGGAAGGACAGAGAGAGGTAGGAAGGGTTGTTGTGTAAAGAGGTCAATGTGCTCTCTTGGTGAGCTCTTCTGAGAGTTAGGACACAAAGAGAATGTGTCCAAATGGTGAACAGGTGGGGCAAGCAGGCTGGAGTCCTTTTGAAGAGGGTCAGGAAACAAAAGCCTGCAAGCAGCACAGATGTGTGAAAAAGCTATTTTTAGTCTGGTACAAAAAGCCCACAGGAGAAGTACCACCCCTAACCGTAGTCCTCTTTGTCTCTGTCTTCTCTGCCAGGAAAATCAATCATCATGTCAGGAGGGCAGGTGTTAAAATTGGTCAGAGGAAATAAAAATCCAAGAGAAATGAAGATACAGTGAGAGAATGTCATGCTCTATTAAATGCATTCAAGTCTCGTTGCTCAGAGAAATGACATGTTAGGGTTCAACTCAAAATATAAATGTTTTGTTGTTTTTGTAGGTTTTAAAGGAATATATGCTCATTTTAAGACTCAAACTATCAATAGAAACTATTTTAAGCACCAACTATATGGCAGGAAGTAAGTCTAGAGCCTTATGTATATTTACGTCACTTAATTATCTTTTTTTTTTTTTTTTTTTGAGATGGAGTTTCACTCTTGTTGCCCAGGCTGGAGTGCAATGGCATGATCTCAGCTCACCACAACCTCTGCCTCCCAGGTTCAAGCAATTCTTCTGCCTCAGCCTCCTGAGTAGCTGGGATTACAGGCATGTGCCACCACGCCTGGCTAATTTTGTATTTTTAGTAGAGACGGGGTTTCTCCATGTTGGTCAGGCTGGTCTCGAACTCCCGACCTCAGGTGATCCACCCGCCTTGACCTCCCAAAGTGTTGGGATTACAGGCGTGAGCCACTGCACCCAGCCGTCATTTAATTATCACCCAAACTTGTGTGCATATTATCACTTACCCATTCTACAACTAATGAGCCCAAGACCAAGAGAGCTTAAGTGACTTGCCCAGAGTTGCACAGCTTGTTCTATGACCTGCTCATTTGGACAAGTTACTTAATCTCCCTATGCCTCAGTTGGTTCAACTGTTACAGAGGATAAGGACCCAACTGGTTGGGCTGACTTGAGTTTCAAATTCTCTCTCCCAGTAGACTGAAGTGTGCTTAGACATTAGAACCACACTCTCGTTCAAAATCTTCTTTTACAACTTACTAACTTTATGTCTTTGGGCAAGCCATATAGCCGTGTGCCTCAGCTCCTCTTCTGAAAACTAGGGATTTTCTTTTTTTTTTTTTTTGAGACGGAGTCTCGCTCTATCGCCCAGGCTGGAGTGCAGTGTTGCGATCTTGGCTCACTGCAAGCTCCGCCTCCCGGGTTCACGCCATTCTCCTGCCTCAGCCTCCCAAGTAGCTGGGATTACAGACACACAGCACCACGCCCAGCTAATTTTTCTATTTTTTTTTTTTAGTAGAGATGAGGTTTCACTATGTTGGTCAGGCTGGTCTCAAACTCCTGACCTCGTGATCCGCCTGCCTCAGCCTCCCAAAGTGCTGGGATTACAGGCGTGAGCCACCGCGCCCGGCCGAAAACTGGAGATCTTAATAGTGACAATGGGCTGTTGCAAGGATTAAATTAGCTAATAGAGGCTAAATGCTTATAATAGTACCTGCTCTCTCATAGCTAATAGCTGATATTAATATAATTGGTAGCAGTAGTATTTCTATCCTGTCTTGTTAGGACAACATAACTTATCCCAGCAAGGTTCATTAGAAGAAAAAGAACGGACTTCCCAGGGCAGGCAGATCTGTTCTGAGAATTCAAGGAGCTCACACCTGTGAAACACTCAGAATAGTGCCTGGAAAATAGTCATGCTTATGCCCATGTTTAGTTATTATTATCTATAAATTCCACAACACAGCTCTTAACTTCTATTTGCTACTTCTTCACACTGCATTATGCCTAAAAAAACTCATCATCCAGAGACAGATATTGTTGATAGTTTCTTGTGTATCTTCCCTTACTTTTGAAGCAACTGCATAAATGTGTTTCTATGCCAGGTTCACATTTAACTGAGTTAAACATAGTGGGTGTGAACTCTGGCATTGGCAGATAGTGGCTCTGTGGCCTTAGGGAGGTAATTTCACTTGCCTGAATCATAGTTTCCTTATCTGCAAAATGAGGATAATAATCTCATAGAGTGGTAGTGAGGACAAAACATACCATTTTAAGGCACTTAGAACAGAATCTTGTCACATAGGCTTGAAAAAGACTTAGTAATTTAAAACAGATGTTCTATGCAATGGCCAGAGTAATCCTTATAAATCAGATTGTGTTACTTTTCTGCTTAAACTCTGAAATTTTCTTATTGTATTTGGAATTAAATTCATATGCCTTACCTTGGTCTATGTGAAGGGTCTTGGTGTCCTGAAAAATGTTATTTTCATTTGCTACCTAGTTCAGAACTGAGGGAGATATAGATGAATGTTTGGTGTGTGTCGTTTACATCTGTGGGATAGTAGATATTACAAACTAAATTGTGCCTCTCACCCACCCAAATTAACATGTTGAAGTTCTGACCCCCCATTATGACCATATTTGGAAGTAGGGCCTTTAAAGCGCTCAAAAATATTCCAGTTGCAGTCCTAGCATATGCAGACATGAGAAGTGGGGGATATGAATTTTCCTACTAACAATCTCCAAGGCCAGGCCGGGCACAGTGGCTCACGGCTGTAATCCCAGCACTTTGGGAGGATGAGGAGGATGGATCACGAGGTCAGGAGTTCAAGACCAGCCTGGCTAAGATGGTGAAACCCATTCTCCATCGCTCCTGCCTGGGCGATAGAGTGAGACTACCTCTCAAAGAAAAAAAAAAAAAAGAATCTACAAGGCCATGAAGGAGAGGCCCTAATTCAATATGACTGGTGTCCCTCTAAAGAAGAGAAGAGGCCAGGCGAGGTGGCTCATGCCTGTAATCCCAGCACTTTGGGAGGTCAAGGCGGGGGAATCACGAAGTCAGGAGATGGAGACCATCCTGGCCAACATGGTGAAACCTCGTCTCTACTAAAAATAAAAAAAAATTAGCTGGGCATGGTGGCACACACCTGTAGTCCCAGCTACTCGGGACGCTGAGGCAGAAAAATTGCTTGAACTGGGAGGCGGCGGTTGCAGTGAGCCAACATTGCACCACTGCACTCCAGCCTGGCAACAGAGCAAGACTCTGTCTCAAAAAAAAAAAAAAAAAAAAGAGATACCAGGGATGCACCTATAGAGAAAAGGCCGTGTGAGAACACAGCATGAAAGTGACCATCTGTAAGACATAAAGAGAGGCCTCAGGAGAAACCAAACCTACTGACACCTCCATCGTGGACTTCCAGTCTCTAGAACTGTGAGCGAACAAACTTCTGTTGTTTAAGTCATGCAGTCTGTGGTATTTTGTTACGGCATCCCTAGAAAACTAATACACTAGGTGTCCTAGGACAGCACCCAAAAAACAATCTTATATTCCAGATGCCAGGCAAAGGTGGACATCGACGAGGGTGGACCTAGGGACTTAAACAATGGCAGGACACCGTCTTTCTCTCCATATTTCAGATCCATCCACCTTCTTTTCCCGCAGGAGCTCTGACTGCAGCAGGTCGATGGCGACTGGCACTCCTAACCCTCCATCCTTAACAGGGCGTTTTGCAAAAGGAGGGGAGATTTGCTGTTTTCCAGCCACCTAAGATCAAACCTTAAGGTACTCTTTTGCCTTTCCCTGATTAGTTTCTTTTTTGTTTTTTTTGAGACGGAGTTTTGCTCAGTCGCCCAGGCTGGAGTGCAGTGGCTCGATCTCGGCTCACTGCAAGCTCCGCCTCCCGGGTTCACGCCATTCTCCTGCCTCAGCCTCCAGAGTAGCTGGGACTACAGGCGCCCGCCACCACGCCCAGCTAATTTTTTGTATTTTTTTTTTTTTTAGTAGAGACGGGGTTTCACCGTGTTAGCCAGGATGGTCTCGATCTCCTGACCTCGTGATCCGCCCGCCTCGGCCTCCCAAAGTGCTGGGATTACAGGCGTGAGCCACCGCGCCCAGCTCCCTGATTAGTTTCAATGATTATTTCTGGGCCAATCACTGGCCAGACAGCCTCATGCTCTGGGTTGAAACAAAAGGGAACATGATTTTTAGCACGCTGTGAGGTTTTCATAAAGTGGGGGTGGAGTTGGTTGTTGAGGGGAGGTGGGGATTCCTATGTAAGTCAGAGCTTAGGAAAATAGAGCATACTACATGTTTTACAAGTAGCACGGGATTTAAAACAGAGCATTAGATGCTTCTAAAACTACAGTAAGGGGCAGAGGGAAATAAATCAGGAAAGGTCACAACTAATCTTTGTATGCTGCTAGTTTTCAAGGAAACAGGAAGGTGGAGGGCCCCAGGAAACTGCTGGCAATGGCAGGTATCTTCAGTACTGTGGTGAGTGAGTCACAGGAAAATGCCTAGAGGCCTCTCTGAGTCTCATGTCTACTGAAGTTCGCATATCTTCTTGCTGTTTCCAAAGGAGCAGTGATTCTCTGTCTATCAATCATCTACCTTCCTAGTTACCTTCCTACTTACCTATCTAATTCTGGTCTTCCAAAACTTGTGTAAATTCCTCACACTGGCAGACTCTAGTTTTCAGAGATTCTGGGATATGTGGCTCACAGTCACAGGTTTCTGGCCCCTTTGATACATGGAAGAGCATAGAAGGGAGGATGGCATTGAGTTGCTAACACAGTCTGCTGCAGATCCTCAGAGTAAAGGATGTTGGACAAACAACACCCATGCTACCTTGAGTCATAGATATTGTAAGCACTTCTCTCACATTATTAACTTTTTTTTTTTTTTTTAACATGTGAGGGTCCTAGGGGAGCTTAATCTCTTTGAACAGCTTAGAGGGTCTTAGAGACATTGAGGAGATTGGGGAGGGTCAGGATACAGGAAAACATTTTCATTTCCAAATAGAGAAAGAAAATCGAAGTCATAAGCTATAAGTTGGTGAGCTTGGTGGAAATTCTAGGAGAGTTTATAGACAGGAACATCAAGAAGATGGTACATGAGGACTTCGAAAATAAAACAGTGCTCACAAAGAGGCATCAGACGTTTACAAAGAACAAATTGTACCAAAATCACCTTATTTATTTGTTTGTTTATTTATGAATGACTGAGGGGATTACTGGACCCATGGAGCATGTGGATTTTCATGAGGCATTTACCAAAATCTCATTATGTCTCTGTGAACAAATGGCAAAATGCTGGTGGCACTACTGCTAAGTGCAATCATAACTGAAGGGCTGTGTCCTGAGAATGTTGACTAATGGGCCCATGTCAGCCTGGAAAAATGGTCTCAGTTAAGGAGTCCTGGCTTTGACTTTGTGCAGTTCAACCTTTTGATCATTGTTTCTTTTGAGAGCAGTGATGGCTCTCTAATCAAATCTGAGGATGCACCAAGGCAGAGAGAAAGGATAAATGGATTGTATAATAAAATTAGGACCAGAGGCAGGGTGGGGACACACATCCAAACTATATCCCAGCAAGGAAAAAATACATGTTTCTCAGGAGGAGGCAGTTGGACAAAGCATTAGAAAAGAAGTATTATGGCTGGGCACAGTGGCTCATGCCTATAATTCCAGCAGAGTGGAAGGCCAGAGTGGAAGGATCGCTTGAGCCCAGGAGTTCAAGACCAGCCTGGGCAACATCATGGAACCTCATCTCTACAAAATAAAAATAAAAATAAAAAATTAGCTGGGCATGGTGGAATGCACCTGCAGACCCAGCTACACAGGAGGTTGAGGTGGGAAGATTGCTTGGGCCTGGGAGGTCAAGGCTGCAGTGAGCCATGATCATGCCACTGCACTCCAGCCTGGGTGACAGAGAGGGACCCTGCCTCAGAAAGAAAAAAGAAAAAAAAAAAAAAAAGAAAAGAGGTATTACAGACAGGAAGAAGAGAGACAAAAAAGGACAATTCCCACCCACAGTATCTCATTACCACTTCTGGCTGAGTGTTGATTCTTTTAAATAGGTAGTGGCGGTCCTCCAAAGGTTCACAGATGTAGGCTGTGGTATCCTCCTTTTGCACATGTGACTCATAAGAAACAGGTCTAATCTTGGTACCCAACCAGTTATTTCCTGGAGTTTAACAGTAGTGCAGGTACTCAATACCACCTGATAATGACCTTTCTATTTTGGTTGTAATTGATCCTCAGAGGATCCATCTTTATAAGGTTTCAGTAAGACTAAGTCTCCTAGTTGAATGGGAGAGTTTATTTTTTTCCCCTGTGGGAGGAGGCAATACTACATTTCCATATTCTTGAAGGGCCTTTTGAATCTCGTCTAAGTTGACAATGTGGGTGAACAATCTATGTGTCTCTTCATCAAACAGGAGGTCTAAAGTTAACAAGGGACTTCCATTAAGTCATTTCAAATGGACTAAGCTTTAAGGTTTCCTTTGGAGCAAAAGGGCTATGGGTAGGAGAGGAACTGGGCCTCTGAGGTCTCTCGAGAGTTTTGCTAATGTCCTTTTAAAAATATGGCTGGCTTTTTCTACCTTCCCAGAGTATTGAGGCCTCCAGGAGGAGTGAAGATGATAGGTAATGTCTAAGCTAAGGAAAACTGCTGGGTCACCTTAGCTGTGAAGGAAGGTCCGTTATGACTTTGCAAATATTTTAGTAACCCAAATCTTGGGATGATCTCTTTAAGTAAGAATCTGGACATTTCTAATGCTTTTATATATTTTTTTTTATTTTTTGGTCTTTCTAGGGAAAGCTTTTATCCACCCAGTGAAAGTGCATATGAATACTAGCAAATATTTTAGTTCCCTATAAAGTGGCATCTGGGTGAAATCTATTTGCCTGTTTTCCCCAAGGTATGTTTCTCAGTGTTCTATAGGTTTGAGTAGGGTGGCGGCATGGGGTGGCTTCCTGGCCTGTTATGGGCACAAAGTCCCCAGGCCCTGATGACTTTTTTTTTTCCCATGGTCTAGAACAGTTTCTTTCCCAAGATTTGAGAAGCCAATTTGAATAGATTCCTGTCCCAAATGTGAAGAGTCATGGAAATATTTCATTATTTTCAACTGCTTAGCTCCAGGGAGAAAGAGTTTGTTGCTTTCTGGCAACCACCCTGAGGGGTCTTTTTGTAAGCCTTTCTGTTCTGCCCACTTAATTTTTTCAAGGGTATTGTAGGGTGCCACTGACACGTGTGGAGTGCCTGGTATTAATGCAGTGACCTGTAATGCTGGTATTTTTTTCAGTTGTGGCCTTGGCTGCCCTGTCTGCCAGAGCATTTTCTCTGATAATCGAGGTGTCTCCTTTTGATGTCCCTTGCAGTAGATAACTGCTGTCTCCTTTAGGAGCTGAACAGCAGCTAAAAATTCCAAGATCTCAGAGAGATGTTATATGGGGGATACCTTGGCTGTTAATAGTCTCCTTTTTTCTTCATATGGCCACATGAGCATGGTGTACCAGGAACCCATATTTGAAATTAGTAAATATATTGACTCTTGCAGTAAAAAAAAGTATATTTTTTATATACCTAAGAGTAAATATATATACATACACACACTCTCTTAAGTCTATATATATGTATATATACACTCTTAAGTCTTTTCTCAATTGGAGGACCCTAATTAGAGTAATTAATTCTGCTTTTTGAGTGGAAATCTGGAAAAGTAAGTCTTTGGCTACCATGACTTCTTGCTGGATAACCACATCATAAACTGCCTTTTCTTTCTTTCTTTCTTTTTCTTTCTTTTCTTTCTTTTTCTTTCTTTCTTTCTTTCTTTCTTTCTTTCTTTCTTTCTTTCTTTCTTTCCTTCTTTCTTTCTTTCTCTCTCTCTCCTTCCTTCCTTCTCTCTCTCTCTCTTTCTTTCTTTCTTTCTCTCCTTCCTTCCTTTCTTTCCTTCTTTCTTTCTTTCTTTGAGATGGAGTCTCATTCTGTCACCCAGGCTGGGGTGCAGCGGCATGATGCACTGGCATGATCTCGATTCACTGCAGCCTCCACCTCCTGGGTTCAAGTGATTCAGAATAGCTGCCTCAGCCTCCAGAGTAGCTGAGATTACAGGCTCCTGCCACCACGTGCAGCTAATTTTTGTATTTTTAGTAGAGACAGGGTTTCACCGTGTTGGCCAGGCTGGTCTCAAACTCCTGACCTCAGGTGATCTGCCTGCCTGAGCCTCCCAAAGTGCTGGGCTTACAGGCTTGATCCACCATGCCCAACCACAGCCTGCCTTTCTTACTCCCTCATGAATAAAGCTGCTCCTGCCTGTAAACCGCTCAATACCAGGGTTATGCAGGGGCTCATCTTTGAGGTCAGACCTGCTAGAATAGGTCTGATCTGTGGTTTCCACAGAGGAATAAATGAGCTGGGGATCTGCTTTTTGGGATGTGAAGTCTGGCAACAGAGTAGCAGGTTTAAAACCTGACATAGTTTAAGGTAACATCTGTGGTGTCAAGCAGAAGGGCCTGATATTTAAACAACTGACTACCTGTTAGCCATTGATGTCCTTTTGCCTCTAGGACCCCCTGTATTTGGTTGGGGGAAGGATAATGACATCTAATTGTTGTTCCAAGGTAAATTTACTGCCTTTTGTTTTTTTCCCCCAACAGAGCAGTGGTGGGCACAGCTCAAAAGCATCCTGGCCACCCAGCTGCCAACTGGCCTAGCTGTTTAGAAAAGTAAGCCACTGGTTTAGGATTATTCTTGAGCCTTTGAGCTAGAACACCCAAAGATGTCCTTTGTTTTTAGTCACATAGAGAGTGAAAGGTTTGGGACATGTTCCCAGCATTTCTTTTAGGGTTAAGAATGCCTGTTGTGAGGTTCTGTCCCAATTCAAAGGCTTGTGATCACACTCTTTTAGAGCTTTATAGAGTGGTTTTGATATGATCCCAAACCTGGGAATACAAATATGGCAGAATCTGGCCATTCCCAAAAAGGCACTTAACTGTTTCTTAGTCTGAGTGGGCTGGAGTGCCAGAATGGTCTCTTTCTATTCCTGGGCTAAGGTTTTTGTCCCAGGAATAAACACACATCTCAGATACTTCACCCTTTGGGCAGAAATTTGGGCCTTGTGGGGAGATACCCAGTACCCTTCTGTATTAGTCTGTTCTTACACTGCTAATGTGTGAGATATAAAGACATACCTGAGACTGGGTAATTTATAAAGAAAAGAGGTTTAATGAACTCACGGTTCCACATGGCTGGGGAGGCCTCACTCATGGCAGAAGGCAAATGAGAAGCAAAGTCATGTCTTACATGGCAGCAGGCAAGAGAGCTTGTGTAGGGGAACTCCCCTTTATAAAACCATCAGATCTCATAAGACTTATTCATTATCATGAAAACAGCATGGGAAAGACCCACCCCCATGGTTCAATTACTTCCCACCAGGTCCTTCCCATGACACGTGGGAATTATGGGAGCTACAATTCAAGATGAGATTTGGCTGGGGACACAGTCAAACCATATCACCTTGTTTTCCCAGAAAATTAAGGATCTGGATTGTGTTTCTGTCAGAGGATTTTAATCTTTCCCCTGAGTTATTTCTCTAATCTTGTCATAATTAACTGGCTTGACCACATACTTTTTCATGCCTTCTATTAAATGAGTTAGTATGTGATTTCTGCATTCAAGATCTTAGGAATTGATCTGGAACTGCCTCACCCCCCTCCACACAGTAAATGGTATGGCCTTGGTTACGAGTAGCCACTCCATCTGCATGTTCGTGGGCAGTATCTAGAGTCTTTTTTTCTTTTCTTTTCTTTTTCTTTTTTTTTTTTTTTTGAGACTGAGTTTCACTCTTGTCGCCCAGGCTGGAGTGCAATGGCGCTATCTCGGTTCACTGCAACCTCTGCCTCCCGGGTTCAAGCGATTCTCCTGCTTCAGCCTCCTGAATAGCTGGGATTACAGGTGCCTATCACCATGCCCAGATAATTATTGTGTTTTTAGTAGAGACGGGGTTTCTCCATGTTGGTCAGGCTGGTCTTGAACTCCTGACCTCAGGTGATCCATCCGCCTTGGCCTCCAAAATTGCTGGGATTACAGGCCTGAGCCACCGTGCCCAGCCTGTTTTGTTTTTTTCTATGGCAAAACAAGTGGATAATGATATTGGCATGTCATGCCACCTTAAATCAAAGGACATGGCCAATTTAACAAACTCCTGTACAAACTTCCCTGGATCCTCTGAAAACTGGCCACATTTTCTTGCATAAAGCCAAATTGGACATGGAAAAGGTACATATATTCTGATTTTTCCACCATCTCTGTCAACTACCTGCTGATACGGACACAGGTTTGATTTGAGGGGCTGATACGGGACCCTACTGCTGGTGGTACTGGTTGGGCTTGCTTCCTTGGGCAGCAGGGGGCATAGGCTGGGATCTGTTGGATAAGGGGGAGAAGTTCTTGATGACCTTGGAGTGGAATCCTGTGCTAGAGAACTGGTGGGAACCTTCTTAGAACTGAAGGACTGAGGAATCTCCAAGGCGGGCTTGTAGGCGTTCTAGCTGGAGCAGCTAGGAAGGGGTAATCCAGGATATCTGGGGTAGCTTCTTGGTGCCAGAGGTGTTATGAGCCAGACACATTTTACAGCTATCTCTTAGGTCAGGATCTTGGTAGAGGGCCATAAAGCCTGCACATAAGGAACTTCTCCCCATTTTCCTTTCTTTTTACAGAATAAATCTAATTGTAAAATAGCATTATAACATAAAGAGCCATTTCTAGGCCAAATTTGTTGATTCCCCAATTTGTATTCGACTCAGTGTTGCCATGGAAAATGAGGTTTTTTTCCTCTTTAAATCATCAGATTTGAATTTCCTCCACTTGCCTAAAAGACATCCCGGTGGCAAGGCCTATGGGATGCTCACTGCTGTCCCCATGTCTAGTAAGGATTTCTACAGGAGTTTTGTAGTTAGTCTAAGTCTAGCAAAAGCTTAGTCACATTTTCCTTTCAAATTTTCACTTTTTGCAAAGAAGGTGTAAGTATAGGTAGCAAAGCATTACAAAAGCCAATTATGAGCTATGAATGGGTAGTAGAATGACGAGAGTGAATTCTACAGAGAGCAATGAAAGCATCTTAGTTTGGGCAGAGAGGGGCTAAACAGAAAGTAAACACAGAAGGGAGGAAGGGAAGGGGTGAACAGCATTTCTCAAGGGGAGACCTTGGAAGCTCGGATTCACCACAGAACCTACTTGGCAATGGAGACAACTGTCTGCAGGAGCCAAAATGGTGCCAGCCAGGCTTGTGGAACTGGGTGAAGGCCTGCCTAGGTGACCCCCAGCTTGGGTGGGCTTGGCTGCTAGAGGGGAACAAGTGTGGAGATCAGCAACCTGGTAGGTCCCACATCAGGCGGTGCTCTGGCCACTTGCCTGTCCTCTTGGCTCCACTGCCTGCCAGGATAAATGACGGCTCTGGCCAGGCACGATGGCTCACGTCTGTAACCCCAACACTTTGGGAGGCCATAAGGGGGCGGATCACTTGAGGTCAGGAGCTCTAGACTAGCCTGTCCAACATGGTGGAACCCCATATCTGCTAAAAATACAAAAATTAGCCAGGCATGGTGGTGGGTGCCTGTAATATCAGCTACTCGAGCGGCTGAGGCAGGAGAATCACTTGAGGCAGGAGAATCCAGGAGGCGGAGGTTGCAGGTTGCAGTGAGCCAAGATCGCACCACTGCACTCCAGACTAGGCACCAGAACAAGACTCCATCTCAAAAGAAAAGAAAGACAGAAAGGGAGAAAGAGACAAAGAGACAAAGAAAGGAAAGAAGGAAGGAAGGAAGGAAGGAAGGAAGGGAGGAAGGAAAATGATGGCTCTGAAAAGAGCCTTTGGTTGATGTTACACCTCTCTGCAGTGTTAGCAGCTCTTTGGTATTACAGTCTTAGTGTTACTGCTCTTGCAGTTTTGATGACCAATTTCCTCACCATCTCTCGCTGTCTCACTGATCATTGCCTCTTGCTGTCTCTCTCACTGCTTGCTGTCTCTTGCCATCTCTCACTATCTCACCAACCATTATCTCTCACCATTGCCTCATCAATCACTGACCACCATCCTCTCTTCACTCCTGGCTGACTCATCACCGATGCAGGGCAGATTCTTGGCTTTGCTCAGGAAAGAACTCAAGAGCAAGGCTGGGCGTGGTGGCTCACACCTGTGATCCCAGCCCTTTGGGAAGCCCAGGCAGGAAGATTGCTTGAGCCCAGAAGTTCGAGACCAGCCTGGGCAACATAGCAAGATCCTGTCCCTACTTAAAAAAAGAATTCAAGAGCAGGCTGGTGATGAAAGAAAGCAGCTTTACTGAAGTGGCAGCAGTGTCAAGTCTCTGTGACTGCTCCTTGTGGAGCAAAGCTATCGCATAGGCAGTGAACTGAGTAACAACATATGGGTGGTTTGCGGTCATATTTATATCTACTTCTAATGACATGCTAATTAAGAGGCAGTTCTACTCAGAAATAGCTAGAAAATGGGTGATAACTCTCTGGGTATTGCCGTGGCAAAGGGTAGTAACTTCAGGCATCTCCACGTGTCGGTAAACTGTGGTAGTGTCTTATAGGGATGGGCAGCGAGAGCAACTGGAGGTGCTTTCAGGACCCCTTCCTGGTTTCTGCCAGTCTTCAGTCTGGTCTGGAGATGAGTCCCGCCTGCCTCCTACCTCATGTGGAGTTACTGACACAGGCATTCATTCAACAAATATTTTTTGAGAACTATAATCAGAATTTGGTTAGGTGCTGGGTACACATATGTGAAAAAAATTGACAAGATTACTACCAAGGAGGAATGGGAACACTTATTGAGCATCCTATATGTATCGTGCACTGTATTGAGGCTGTGAAGACGAGTACACATCCTGCTTTCAATTTTTTTTTTTTTTTTGAGACAGAGTTTCACTCTTGTTGCCCAGACTGGAGTGCAATGGCATGATCTCGGCTCACTGCAACCTCTGCCTCCTGTGTTCAAGCAATTCTCGTACTTCAGCCTCCTGAGTAGCTGGGACTATAGGCACATGTCACCATGTCCGGCTAATTTTTGTATTTTTAATAGAGATGGAGTTTCACCATGTTGGCCAAGATGATCTCGATCTCCTGACCTCGTGATCCACTCGACTTGGCCTCCCAAAGTCCTGGGATTACAGGTGTGAGTCACTGTGCCAGGCCTATTTCTTTTTTAAATACATTTTTATTTTATTTTATTTAGTCACCCAGGCTGGAGTGCAGTGGTGCAATCTTGACTTGCTGTAACTTCCGCTTCCTGGGTTCAAGCGATTCTCGTGCCTCAGCTTCCTGAGCAGCTAGGACCACAGGCACCTGCCACCACACTCGGCAAATTTTTGTATTTTTAATAGAGACGGGGTTTCACTGTGTTGGCGAGGCTGGTCTCGAATTCCTGACTTTCGACAATCCACCCGACTCAGCCTCTCAAAGTGCTGGGATTACAGGCGTGAGCCACAGCGCCCGGCTGGAATTTGGATTATTTCTATAACCTTGAGATAAGAAATCCTAGGGCTGGGGTTTGCTTAATGGGCACACAATATATGAAGAGCTGTTATATAAAATGAAGAATGGTCATGTGCTTATGTGGCTGCAAAGGATGGATTTAGGACACGGCTGGAAGTTTCAGGGAACACACTTAGGGTTAGATGAGGAAAATCTTTCGAACAGAGCAGTTTATCAGTGGAAGGATATATTTCTGAAGTAGGAGTTTCCATGAGATTGAAGACATTCAAACCAAAGCTGGAGAGGCCCCTTCTAACGTATGATGAAGAGTCACTCTCTGATTTGTGTTTTGGACTAAATGGCCACTGAGGTCACATTTAGCCATGAAATTCTTTGATTTTATAAACCTTTATATGTTGCATTCAAAAATTTTGTATCGTGCATTGCTATTTTGCTTTGTGTATGTAAATCAATGCTTGCTGAATTGAATTGTGAACTTCCCCAGAGCCTGAGAAAAGGTCTAGGTGGTATATTGAAGAGATCATGGATTTGGAATCTGTTCTAATACCAAAAAGCTATGTTCTTTGTGGGCAGGCTGTTCACCTTCTCTGCAACTCAACTTTCACATCTATAAAATGTATGTAGTAAAATTTAATTTATTCTGTTGCATTGCTATGGGGCAAGACATAATGTGTGGTAAAGCACTTTGAACACAGTGACATACAAAATTGATGCACACTTCATGGAAGTTATATTTGCTTCGCTTCATTCTCATATACTGCTACCCCACTGGCACCTGATGCTGTGGAATGCACAGATAAATTCTGTCCCCAAAGATATTGGAAGATGAAGGCCAAATGCTGGTTGCAATACTGTGGCCCAAGCCAGAGAGTCCATGATGGCTGATTCTTTCCCCAAAGGCAGGGGGATTTTGCTCTGTATTCTGTTATTTCATAGCTCTCTCTTCTCCTTCTTTGCACTATTCCTTCCTGGGATCTTCAGTGTTCTTCACTTTAGGTCCTGAAGCTGCTTGTGTCTGGATCAGTGGTTTCTGAGCACCCTCTAGAGACAACAGAGGGATTTGTTCCATTTGAGAGAACAGATTTTTCCCATCATGTGGTTGCTGGATCAAACGGAACGCATAGGAGCAAGTGAGGAGGACCCAGCTTTCTTCAGCCCAGCCCTCCCTAGCACTGCTCCAGTGGGGCTGCCTTCTCCTATATATCCAATCCCCAGGTGTCCGTGAGACAATGAGCAACCCAGGATTAAGAAAAACGTTCCCTTCTCTTCCTAAGCACAAGTGGTCAGGTGAGAGTGTGTGTCTCAATGGGAACATAACTCAATCTCTAGTGAATTCTGAACAAGACAATGACTCAAGTCCAGAGTTAAACGCACTAAATATGATGCATAAATTACCTCTTCTGACCATCCAGGCGGCATGTCTTGCTCAATCCTCAGGAAAAAGAAAAGAAAAACTTACTCAAGCACCATAAACAACAGAAAGCAATATGAACTCTTATTTTTCTTTAAATATTTCATCTCTAGTTCTTTCTCATATTCAACTCTTTTAAAGTTCCACATCATTCCTGTCCCTAAACAAACTTAAAGTACAACATTCCTATTTCTAGGATAGTGGAGAAGACAGTGAGGGGTAAGAGATCAAGGGACTGGGATGGGTAATAATAAGGAGGGTATGATAAAACCCACTTCAGGAGTGTCACACCTTGAATACATAGCAAAAATGATTGACTGACTGAGAAATCAGACCACATATCCCTTTCTGAAAGAAAATGATGAAATGAATTTCCTAGAGTCATAGAGTGAGATATTGGGAGATAGAATTTCAGACATCTATCTTGAAATTTGTTGAGTTTCTTGGCACTGTAAGTTAATGTTGTTCATCATATCTGGAACATTTTGTCCATTCTCTCTTCATGTGCTTTCTACCCCTTTTCTTTCTCTTCTCTTTCTAGGATTCCCCTCATACATATATTAGTATGCTTGATGATGTTCCACAGATGTTTGAGGTTCTGTTCAGAGAAAAACCTTTTTTAAATTATTTTTCTTTATTCTTTCCTTTTAAAAATAATTGCTAGCTTTGATGAGGCTGCAGAGAAATAGGAATGCTTTTACACTGCTGGTGGGAATGTAAATTAGTTCAACATTGTGGAAGACAGTGTGGAGATGTGCCAAGGAAATCCCTTTGACACAGCAATCCCATTGCTGGGTATATACCCAAAGGAATAGAAATCATTTTATTATAAAGATACATGCGTGGGTATGTTCCTTGTAGCACTATTCACAATAACAAAGACATAGAATCAACCCAAATGCTCATCAGTGATAGACTGGATAAAGAAAATGTGGTAGGCCAGATGCAGTGGCTCATGCCTGTAATCCCAGCACTTTGGGAGGCCGAGGCAGGCGGATCACCTGAGGTCAGGAGTTCGAAACCAGACTGGCCAACATGGTGAAACCACGTCTCTATTAAAAATACAAAAATTAGCCAGGCATGGTGGCAGGCACCTGTAATCCCAGCTACTCAAGAGGCTGAGGCAGGAGAATCTCTTGAACCCAGAAGTGGAGGGTGCAGTGAGCCGAGATTATGCCATTGCACTCCAGCCTGGGGGACAAGAGTGAGACTTCGTCTCAAAAACAAAAAAAAAAAAAAAAAGAAAAAGAAAAAGAAAAGAAAAGAAAAGAAAGTGCGGTACATATACACCATGGAATACTATGCAGCCATAAAGAGGAATGAGATCATGTGCTTTGCAGGGACATGGATGGAGGTGAAAGCCATTAACCTCAGCAAACTAGTGCAGGAACAGAAAACCAAACACCACATGTTCTCACTTACAAGTGGGAGCTGAACAATGAGAACACATGGATACAGAGAGGGGAACAACAATGGGGAGAGTCAGGGGAGGGAGAACATCAGGAAAAATAGCTAATGTGTGCTGGGCTTAATAACTAGCTGATGGGTTGATAGGTGCAGCAAATCACCATGGCACACGTTTACCTATGTAGCAAGCCTGCATATCCTGCACATGTACCCCGGAAATTAAAATAAAAATTTAAAAATTGCTTGCTTTTAATTGATATTTTCTATTTGGTGAGTCATAACCTCAAAACACTACACATTCTATTATTCCATTTATGTAACCTAAGAAAATGATCAAATTTAGTGATGGAAAACAGATCAAAGATTGAAAGGAATTAGGGATGGAGAGGTGACATTACAAAGGGGTAGCATGAGGGAGTTTCTTTGGGATGAAGAATCAGGTTTTTATCTTAATTGTAGTTGTGGTTACATGCATGTATACTCTGATGCATTTTCATAGAATACTCAAAAAAAGAAACAAAAGCAAAATACAAAAGGATATGAAAACTGGTGAAATTGCAATAAGGTTTTATACCTTATTATTATACCAAGGTCAATCCCACGGTTTTGATCACTGTATTAGAGTAATGTAAAGCACGTTGTGCACATGTACCCTAAAACTTAAAGTATAATAAAAAATATATATATACGCACGTATTAAAAAAATAAAAGTCATCGGTGTTAGTCCGTTCTCACACTGCTATGAAGAAATGCCCGAGACTGGGTAATTTATAAAGGAAAGAGGTTTAATTGACTCACAGTTCTTCATGGCTGGGAGGCCTCAAGAAACTTACAATCATGGTGGAAGGCAAAGGAGAAGCAGGCACCTTCTTGACAGGGCAGCAGGATGGATTGAGTGCAGGCAGAGGAAGTGCCAGACACTTAAAACCGTCAGATCTCATGAGACTCGCTATCACGAGAACAGCATGGGGCAAACGGCCCCCGTGATCCAATTACCTCCACCTGGTCCAACCTTTGACACGTGGGGATTAAGGGAATTACAATTCAAGATAAGATTTTGGGTGGGGACACACACAGCCGAACCGTATCATCATCGTGGGAAGTTAAGTTAAAAGCGTATGTGAGCTCTATTATTTTTGCAACTTCTATTTCATTCTAAAACTATTTTAGGGCCAGGTACAGTGGCTCACGCCTGTAATCCCAGCACTTTGGGAGGCCAAGGCGGGCGGATCACAAGGTCAGGAGATCGAGACCATACTGGCTAACACGGTGAAACCCCGTCTCTACTAAAAATACAAAAAATTAGCCGGGCGTGGTGGTGGGCGCCTGTAGTCCCAGCTACTCTGGAGGCTGAGGCAGGAAAATGGCGTGAACCCGGGAGGCAGAGCTTGCAGTGAGCCGAGACAGCGCCACTGCACTCCAGCCTGGGCGAAAGAGTGAGATTCCGTCTCAAAAAAAAAAAAAAAAAAAAAAAAAAAATTAGCAGGCATGGTGGTGCATTCCTGTAGTCCCAGCTACTCGGGAGGCTGAGGCTCAAAAATCACTTCAATCCAGGAGGAGGAGGTTGCAGTGAGCCGAGATTGCACCACTGCACTCCAGCCTGGGTGACAGAGCAAGACACTGTCTAATAATAATAATGTCTTTTAAAAATTCTAAGTCCACTTGCTAAGAGGCCATGCAATGGGCATACTCCAGGCTATCTGTGCAAATCGGTTTCAGAAAAACAAATGCCACTTGCCCAATTGCCTTCTAGTTAAACAATAATGAGGCCACTAGCCCCAGGTCAGGAGAGATCAGAAAAGTAAATACTCAGCGAAATCAAAGTGTTGAACTATTCACCTCAACACCTTGACCCTCAGCAAGTGAGACAAGAACGGGACAGGTGAGAAAGCAACCATCGAGGCCAGGTGTGGTGGCTCACGCTTGTAATCCCAGCACTTTGGGAGGCCGAGGCAGGCAGATTACGAGGTCAGGAGATAGAGACCACGGTGAAACCCCGTCTCTACTGAACATACAAAAAATTAGCCGGGCGTGGTGGCAGTCGCCTGTAGTCCCAGCTACTCGGAGAGGCTGAGGCAGGAGAATGGCGTGAACCCGGGAGGCGGAGCTTGCAGTGAGCAGAGCTCGCGCCAATGCACTCCAGCCTGGGCGACAGAGCAAGACTCCGTCTCAAAAAAAAAAAAAAAAAAAAAAAAAAAAGTAACTATCGAAAAACTTCATCTGTAAGTCATGATGCTTCAGGAAAGTGAAAGAGACCTTCCTATGAGATTTGCAAGTGGGTGTACTGTTTAAGGACTAGAATAATTAAATACATCTCTTATATCAGAACTGCTTTCCCTTCTTTTAACCTGCTATTATAGCCCAAGGTAAGGAACCGTGTAAAACCTACAAAGTTTCTACTTTTGTCCCCATCCCTCTCTGTCCCTGAGTCTGTTCTCTCTCTCTCTCTCAGTGTGCCACTGTGATTCTGTGTTTGACTGTTTTTCCTTTTTTAATGGCCCTTTTCTGCCTTCCTTTATCCCTATTCCCAGATGTTCTCTCATGTCTCATTGCCTATTCTCTCCCTAGCCTCCTGTATTAGTCTGTTCTCACGCTGCTAATAGAGACATACCCGAGACTGAGTCATTTATAAAGGAAAGGGGTTTAATGGACTCACAGTTCCACATGGCTGGGGAGGCCTCACAATCATGGTCGAAGGCAAAGGAGAAGCAAAGACACCTCTTAAATGGTGGCAGGCAAGAGAGCATGTGCAAGGGAACTGTCCTTCATAAAACCATCAGATCTGTGAGACGTAATCACTATCACGAGAAAAGTATGGGAAAGACCCACCCCCAAGATTCAATTACCTCCCACTGGGTTCCTCCCATGACACATGGGAATTATGGGAGCTACAATTCAAGATGAGATTTGGGTGGAGACACAGCCAAACCGTATCACCTCTGTATTAGTCCATTTTCATGCTGCTGATAAAGACATACCTGAGACTAGGCAATTTACAAAAGAAAGAGGCTTAATTGGACTCACGGTTCCATATAACTGGGGAGGCTTCACAATCATGGCAGAAGGCAAGGAGGAGAAAGTCACATCTTACATGGATGTGCAGAAAAACTCCCGTTTTTAAAACCATCAGATCTCATAAGACTCAGTCACTATCACGAGAACAGCCCAGGAAAGACCCACCCCTATGATTCAATCACCTTCCACCAGGTTCCTCCCATGACACATGGGAATTGTTGGAGTTACAACTAAAGATGAGATTTGGGTGGAGACACAGCCAAACCATATCAACCTTCATAACTATTTATTTGTGTATTTACTTATTTATTTATTTATTTTTTTGAGACAGGATCTCACTCTGTCACCCAGGCTGGATTGCAGTGGCACAATCACAGCTTATTGCAGCCTCGACCTTTCTGGCGCAAGGGATCCTCCCCCCTCAGCCTCCCAAGTGGCTGGGGCTACAGGCGTGCACCACCATGCCTCGCTAATTTTTGTGTTTTTTGTAGAGACGGGGTTTCACCATGTTGCCAGGCTGGTCTGGAACTCCTGGGCTCAAGAAATTCTCCCACCTAGGCTTCCCAAAGTGCTGGAATTACAGGCATGAGCCACTGCTTCTGGCCTCCATAACTATTTAAATATAATGTTGAATTAAAAGTCATTATTAGTATTTTTGTACTTAAAAATTTAATTTGGAAGCTCAAGTTTTTATGAAGCAAAAGAGTTTTTACTTTTGATTTATCAGCCTAATAACTCCTCATGTATGATAGAACACACAGCACTTAAATTAAAATTTATTACAGGGAGTCTGGTTGTCTAAGATTTTTTCTGGCCTTTCAGCAACCACAGATTCTTTGGTCCTTCTTTGATGTGTCCACCCTCCTCAAGTAGCAAATCATTTGCTTCTTTTATTCCTCCTTGATTCTCACCACATCACTTCCAGACTGCCCTGGGAAAACGAAATTCTTCATCTATTATCGTGCATGTAACATACACTTTTAAGACGATAATTTATTGTTTCCCGTCTTATACTTTCTTTTTTAGGCTCTGGTTATTGTGTCCTGGGACATTTAGGGCAAGGTAGGAAGCAGAAGCTTCTTTAAAGGTATTTCCCCTATTGGTTTTTATTTCTAAAAGACTAAGGCCATTGAAGAAATTAGGCCTCCTTTATTTCTTCCTGGAGAGAGATGAAACAGTTTTTCCTTTGAGGAAGATGTTGAAGAAGGGATTGTTCATATAGTAAAAAAATATTTCAGGAGATTATGGAGAAAATTTACTGGGTCCTGTAGGAAGAAGAAACAATTACCTGTGCCAGGGCACTTATTTTTATTTTTTTAATACTTTAAGTTCTGGGGTATATGTGCAGAACGTGCAGTTTTGTTGCATAGGTATACACGTGCCATGGTAGTTTGCTGCACCCATCAACCCGTCATCTACATTAGGTATTTCTCCTAATGTTATCCCTCCCCTAGTCCCCTGCCCCTGACAGGCCCCAGTGTGTGATGTTCCCCTCCCTGTGTCCATGTGTTCTCATTGTTCAACTCCCACTTATGAGTGAGAACATGCAGTTTTTGGTTTTCTGATCTTGTGACAGTTTCCTGAGAATGATGGTTTCCAGCTTTATCCATGTCCCTGCAAGGGACATGAACTCATCCTTTTTAATGACTGCATAGTATTCCATGGTGTATATGTGCCACATTTTCTTAATCCAGTCTATCATTGATGGGCATTTGGGTTGGTTCCAACTCTTTGCTGTTGTGAATAGTACCGCAATAAACATATGTGTGCATGTGTCTTTATCGTAGAATGATTTATAATCCTTTGGGTATATACCCACTAATGGGATTGCTGGGTCAAATGGTATTTCTAGTTCTAGATCCTTGAGGAATCACCACACTGTCTTTCACAATGGTTGAACTAATTTACACTCCCACCAACAGTGTAAAAGCATTCCTATTTTTCCACAACCTCTCTCTCCAGCATCTGTTGTTTCTGAGCCAGGGCACTTATAAAGAGAATGTGTGCTGGGTTAAAGATGACTTCTCACTTTAAGCCTTCAATATATTATTTTTCATAGTGATCATAAAGCATTTAATAATTCAATAAGCATATTTAAGAAAAAACCATGTTCAGGGAGATTAAATAAATACAAAAATTTGCAGTACAATGAAAATCAAAGACAATCACTCCTTCAACTAAGTCAGTCCTACACTAGGATGAGTGCTGTGATGAAGGAACCAAAGGAACTAGAGAGGTTCAGGAAAGTTAACTTCCCCGTAAACCAGCAAACCAAATTTGAAACTTGATGCATTTATTTCTAAAGTCAATGAATGATCTTGTGCCAGTACAGGCTGTAAGTCTACCCATGTCATAGTCTGCACTCACAAAGAACTCCCTTTTTTTTTTTTTTTTTTTTTGAGACAGAGTCTTGCTCTGTCGCCCAGGCTTGAGTGCAGTGGTGCAATCTCTGCTCACTGCAAGCTCCGCCTCCCGGGTTCACGCCATTCTCCTGCCTCAGCCTCCCGAGTAGCTGGGACTACAAGCGCCCGCCACCACGCCTGGCTAATTTTTGTATTTTTAGTAGAGACGGGATTTCACCGTGTTAGCTAGGATGATATCAATCTCCTGAGCTTGTGATCCGCCCGCCTCGGCCTCCCAAAGTGCTGGGATTACAGGCGTGAGCCACAGCGCCCGGCCAAGAACTCCTTTTTATTTCCACATTCTATGTTTTAGGATAGTGGTCATACCTGTCTTAATAACGGCAGTCATTGAGCATGTAGAAGTTGCTGGACCTCCAGCACACCCCAGGCCCCCAGAAGAAGTGGGGCCTCCTGGTGCACCAGGTAAGAAGTCTATTTCTTTTGCTTTAAAATGCCCCTCTCCTTTTCTCCTTTTGTTTGGGAATGTCATCCTTCTCCTAGGCTCAGAATCTTGGAAAACTGATCATTGTAGAGTGATCATCAGCCTGAATCATAGATCCAGTGGAAAAAAATGAAACTTCCTGGACCCAGATTTCTTTTATATGTGAAGAGTCAGATTCATAGGTGGAGGCAGATTTATGGTAGGGGCTGTGAAGCAGTTACCACTTGTGATCAAAGAGTGCTGGGGCTGGGTCATCTGCCTGGTTTAGAGCCAGGAAAGAAAGGCAGCAAAAACTTTAGCAGGAAAACAGCCCCAGGAGAAGAGCAGGATTGAACCATATTAACTGGGCAAATAACAGATTATCCTTGGGTTGGCTCTCAGTGAGCACATGGGTGTAGTAGAAGGATTCATCTTAGACACTACCCACTGTAGAACAGGCCTGCAGAAGTCATTTCCTTTCCAGGTTGGCTCAGGAGTGGATGGGACTTGATGCCCCTCTGCCTGTAGCTGAGTAAGGCTGGGTTGGATGAGAGTTTCAGGGAAGTCCACACATTGTGCAAAGTTTCCCTTGCTTCTAATAGAATAGTCACTGGATATCCAGGTGTTGTCCTGCCTTGGGTTCAAGAGGCTATCGGTTTGGTGACTTCCAGTCTCATTTATCTCAAAGATAAAAGACCGAGATCCTTGGATTCAAAATCTCCAGGAAAAACAATATCATTAAATACATTTTAGATTAATTGAAGTTAGGGGAAAATAAACAACATTCCATAAATTTGTTGCTACATTTTTCTAAACCTTCATCATGAGCACAAAGCCTAATCTAAAAGTGAGAAGCCGACCGGACACAGTGGCTCATGCCTGTAATCCCAGCACTTTGGGAGACGGAGGTGGGTGGATCACTTGAGTTCAGGAGTTTGAGACCAGCCTGGCCAACATGGCAAAACCCTGTCTCTACTAAAAATACAAAAATTAGCCGGGCACGGTGGCACATGCCTGTAGTCCCAGCTACTTGGGAGGCTGAGGCAGAAGAATTGCATGAACCTGGGAGGCAGAGGTTGCAGTGAGCTGAAATTGCTCTACCGCACTCCAGCCTGGGCAACAGAGCAAGACTCCATCTCAAAAAATAAAAATAAAACAAAATAAAATAAAATAAAATAAAAGTGAGAAGCCAACAGAAATAAAATAATAGTTTATATTCATTTAGAACTATTGTTTCCCTGACACTGTGGTAAGTACTTTTATTGGATTGTCTCTTTCCTATCTTCTTGAAGTTTCATAATAGTCCTATGAGAATATATGATTGTTTCCTCCTCCTCTATTGTGTGGTCAAAGAAACAGAGACTCAGAGAATTTAAGTAATTGGACTAGGTGCTGGATAATAGGACAATAGGACAGAAGGACAGAATGTGGTTTGCTCTCTTTATAAACCAAAAGTTCATATTCTTAAAAATGATGCTATGCCAACTGTATTAGTCTGTTTTCATGCTGCTGATAAAGACATACCCAAGACTGGGTAATTTATAAAGAAAAAGAGGTTTAGCAGACTCACGGTTCCACATGGCTGGGGAGGCCTCACAATTATGGTAGAAGGTGAAAGGCACATCTTACATGGCAGCAGACAAGAGAGAATGAGAACCAAGTGAAAGGGGTTTCCTCTTATAAAACCATCAGATCTTGTGAGACTTATTCACTACCATGAGAACAGTATGGGAGAAACCACCCCCATGATTATTAATTCCCACCAGGTCCCTCCCACAACATGTGGGAATTATGGGAGCTACAATTCAAGATGAGATTTGGGTGGGGCCACAGCCAAACCATATCACCAACAAAGCAATATTTTTTTTACAATTAACCTAAAACAGATTGATAGTGTTGAATTGACACCCTAATCATTGCTTGGGATGTTAAGGGCAAAACAGGAAACACCTGAGCAAGCATGGGGGATTTAATATAAATCCTGGGAACTTGGGAAGGCAATACAAAGCCTTAAGATGCAATTAGTTTCATGACCATTTAGGTCCAGAAATAGCCATGGTTGAAGTCAAGGATAATGAAGCTTGGGACATGTGATCCAGGGAAAGCTAAGTATATGGATCAAGGCAGGGTGGGAAATAAAGGAGTGGGTATTACCTTCCAAGGTGGGTTGTTTTGAGGGCTCTGTTAGGGGAGGAGAAAACTGAAGCTGATATTAGAACCACAAATATTAAGGTAAAAAAAAAAATAAACTGGAGATCTATATGTCTCAAAGAGAGCTTGTGAAGTTCCATAGCCATGAAATGAATGACTAAATGTGCCCACTGAGTTGTCAGCTTCTCGTTGGTTGTTTCTCATTTTTTCTGGAATGTCCTGGTGCCCCAGGTTTACCACAATATACAGGAGAAATAAGTGAAATGACAAAATGCCCCTGTCCTGATATAGAAAGGTCAGCCTTTACTGTGAAGCTCAGTGGAAAACTTCCTCTTCCTTTCAAGCCCATCATCTTCACAGGGGTCCTGTACAATGCCCAGAGGGATTTAAAGGAGGCCATGGGAGTCTTTGCTTGCAGGGTGCCTGGGAATTACTACTCCAGCTTTGATGTTGAGCTGCATCATTGCAAGGTGAATATTTGGCTAATGAGGAAGCAAATTTTGGCTAATAAGGAAGAAATTTCTAAGCAGCAAAGCATTCAAGAGGTGACTTGGGTGCTGTTAAAGGCATTCAGTTTCATAAGGGAGGCAGAGCATAAGAGTTCAGAAAATTTGCACCCTGACAATGTGATAAAAAAGAAAAACCCATTTTCTGAGGGGAAATTCAAGCTGGCTGCAGAAATTTGCATATGTAATGAGGAGCTGAATGTTAATCCTCAAGACAATGGGGAAAATATCTCCTGGACATGTCAGAGGTCTTCACAGCAGTCCATCAAATCACTGGCCTGGAGGCCTAGGAGAAAATGGTTTTGTGGGACAGGCCCAGGGTCCCTGTGCTGTGTGCAGCCTAGAGACTTGGTGCCCTGTGTCCCAGTTAATTCAGCTGTGGCTTCAGAGGGTGCAAGCCCCAAGCCTTGGCAGCTTCCAAGTGGTGTTGAGCCTGTGGGTGCAAAGAAGTCAAGAATTGAGGTTTGGGAACCTCCAATCAGATTTCAGAAGATATATGGAAACCCCTGGATGCCCAGGCAGAAGTTTGCTGTAGGGGTGGGGTCCTCATGGAGAACCTCTGCAAGGGTAGTACAAAAGGGAAATGTTGGGTGGGAGCCCCCACACAGAGTCCCCAGTGGGGCTCCATCTAGTAGAGCTGTGAGAAGAAGTCCACCATCCTCCAGACTCCAGAAGGGTAGATCCACTGACAGCTTGCAGCATGTGCCTGAAAAATCCACAGACACTCAGTGCCAGCCTGTGAAAGCAGCAGGGATGGAGTCTGTACCCTACAAAACCGTAGTGGCAGAGCTGACCAAGACCGTGGGAATCTACCTCTTGCATTGTCATGACCTGGACGTGAGACATGGAGTCAAAAGAGATCATTTTGGAGCTTTAAGATTTGACTGCCCCACTGGATTTCGGACTTATATGGGGCCCGTACCCCTTTGTTTTGGCCAATTTTTTCCATTTGGAACTGCCGTATTTACCCAATGCCTGTACCTCCATTGTATGTAGGAAGTAACTAACTTGCTTTTGATTTTACAGGCTGATAGGCATAAGGGACTTGCCTTGTCTCGGATGAGACTTTGGACTGAGGACTTTTATTTTTTCATTTTTTTTTTTGAGACAGAGTCTCACTCTGTCATCCAGGCTGGAGGGCAGTGGGGCAATCTCAGCTCACTGCAACCTCCACCTGCTAGGTTCAAGTGATCCTCCTGCCTCAGCCTCCCAAGTAGCTGAGATTACAGGCATGTGCCACCACGCCTGGCTATTATTTGTATTTTTAGTAGAGACAGGGTTTCACCATGTTGGCCAGGCTGGTCTCAAACTCCTGACCTCAGGTGATCTGCCCACCTCGGCCTCCGAAACTGCTGGGATTGCAGGCACGAGCCACCACACCTGGCCAGGACTGTGGACTTTTGAGTTAATGCTGAAATGAGTTGAGACTTTGGGGGATGGTTTGGAAGGCATGAATTGGTTTTGAAACGTGAGGACATGAAGTTTGGGAGGGGCCAGGGGTGGAATGATATGATTTGGCTGTGTCCCCACCCAAATCTCATCTTGAATTCCCATGTGTCATGGGAGGGACACAATGGGAGGTAATTGAATCATGAAGGCAGGTCTTTCCCATGCTGTTCTCGTGATAGTGAATAAGTCTCACAAGATCTGATGGTTTCAAAAAATGGGAGAGTCCCTGCACAAGTTCTCTCTTTGCCTGATGCCATCCATGTAAGACATGACATGCTCCTCCTTGCCTTCCACCGTGATTGTGAGGCTTCCCCAGCCACGTGGAACTGTAAGTCCAATTAAACCCTTTTCCTTTATAAATTACCCAGTCTTGGGTATGTCTTTATCAGCAGTGTGAAAACAGACTAATACAGGTGGTATCTCATTGTGCTTTTAATTTGCATTTCCCTGATAATCAGTGATGTTGAGCATTTTTCCATGTGCTTGTTGGCCATTTGTATATGAATTCTCTATTCATATCCTTTGCCCACTTTTTGATGGGAGCATTTGTTTTTTTCTTGCTGATTTGTCTACTCCCTACTCTCTTTCCTCTCCTTCTGTTGCTTCCTTTACACATTTGTCAGTTCAGTTAATGGGGTCCTTCATTTCTCTCAGACTGTTTATTTTCCCTCATTCTTTTTTTCCTTCTTAGGATCACAAAACTTTTCATTTTCCTTTAAGTTTGCTGATTCTTTCTTCTGACAATTCAAATTTACTCTTATACCCCTCTAGTAAATTTTCTATTTCAGTTCTTTGCTGTACTTTTTAACTCCAAAACTTTCATTTTCTTTTTTATTTTATAATTTATATCTCTTTATGTGCTATTCTCTATCTGGTAAACTAGCTAGCCTATGGTTTAGCTTGCTATTCTCATGGAAATACAAGCCTCTTCTTAATTGCTTACCACCAAAATCTACATTGCCTTTAAGGGAACCCTTAGGCTTGACTTTCCCCATGCTCTTTTCCAAAGCAAGTTAGCTCCTTTGGGGAAAGAAATGACCTTTGTTTGTGGTCATTGCCTTTCTCTCCCCACTTGCAAATAATCTCTGGGCCATTTCTTCAGAGCTAGTGGGTGCAGAGGTGGTCTGATTCTTTTGGAGTGACACTCTTGCTTTATGATCAGGAAACTGGGCTGGAGGGCTGCCTCTGGTCTCCTTGGCTTGCTTCTCCAGTAATGGAACCTCTGCCCTATGAATGAGTTGGGTGGGAGAGGTTAGAGCCCCATTATTCTCAGCCTGCTGTGTCTGGGATAGAGCTTCCTATGAGTAAGGGCTTGGTGGAAGAACTCTGGGCTGCCCTCTCCTGGAATTCAGCCTCTGGAACATGGATCTGGGAGGGGGTTGCAGGTGGTGGGAAATGCTGGCAGCCTCCCCCTTCTGGGAAGATGCTGTGGTCCTCAACTGGGAGCTGGGGGAAGAAAGACCAGTCTAAGTGGCTCTACCCACCCAGAGCAGTGCTCCATCATACAGAACAGTGGGTGCAGTGGGGAGAAAAGGGGATGAATTGTAGCTCAAGTGCTACAGTCTCTTGTTCTTACTGAGATTTAGTAGATGTGATGGTTAATATTGAGTGTCAACTTGATCGAAGGATACAAAGTATTGTTCCTGTGTGTATCTGTGAGGGTGTTGCCAAAGGAGATAAACATTTGAGTCAGTGGACTGGGAGAGGCAGACCTACCCTCAATCTGGTGTCCTCTAATCAGCTGCCAGCATGGCTAGAATACAGCAGGAAGAAGTTGAAGGGATTTGAATTGCTGAGTCTTCTGGCTTTCATCTCTCTCCCATGCTGGATGCTTCCTGCTCTCGAACATCAGACTCCAAGTTCTTCAGCTTTTGGACTCTTGGACTTACACCAGTGGTTTGCCAGGGGCTCTCAGGCCTTCAGCCACAGACTGAAGGCTGTACTATTGGCTTCCCTACTTTTGAGGTTTTGGGACTCAGACTGGCTTCCTTGCTCCTCAGCTTGCAGACGGCCTATTGTGGGACTTCACCTTGTGATTGTATGAGTCAATATTCCTTAATAAACTCCCTTTCATATATACATCTACCCTATTAGTCCTGTCCCTCTAGAGATACAGAAGATTTTCTTGAAAAAAATATTTCTTTACTTACTACATGCCCTTAGGACAATTTAAAGATACTTTACATTAAAAAGAAAATATTTTTAACAATTATGGTTGCTGGTGAAGGAGTCATTAAAGCTCTTCATGCCGCCATCCTGGAGATCGTCTTTGCCCACAAATATTAACAAGTAGAACATAATATCTACTGAAATCTATGGAAAAAATTATTTACACTCTGAAAGGGGTCAAGTTATTCTCAGAATCTCTCTCTCTCTCTCTCTCTCTCTCACACACACACACACACACACACACACACCACTTTGAAATTCACATAATCTATCTTCCTTATATGACAAAAAAGAATAGCTCTAAAAACTGGCCTTAAAGATGCATATGAAGGGTTTGACAAACTTCAATGTTCCTTGTAGAACTTGTAGAAGTTACATATCACTGAGAAGTGTTAGTGTTTGAAGAAAAATATGGAAAATATGAAGACGAAGTATATGACCTACATTTTATCTGCTGCATTCATGAAGCACTCAAAATTTATGGCAAAATAATTTTTTTGTTTTTAAATATTTCTTGCCTTTTTATAGTTACAGTTATATACGTATAAAATACATATAATTTATATCTATATTATACTTATATGTATGGATATAATTTTCTCATCCAAAGGACAATTTTTAGAGTAAAAGGGACAGTAGTTATAATGCTCCCAATACAATATGAAATGGTATTGGCATGATGTACATAAACTGAGGTTGTTCCAAGCCATTTAAGACAAGCACCCACTCTACATACAATATGAAGTGAATTGTGAAGGCACCAGGTATGCTTTTGGTATATGTAAGATTAGTTTCTTGAACATATTTCTAATAGCTGTTTCAAGTTTTGTCTGCTAAATCTAATACCTGGGCCTCTTTAAAGACTATTTCTACTGACTACTTTTACTCCCTGCAAAAGGGTCACACTTTCCTGTTTCTTTACATATTCTACATTTTTTATATTTGAATATCATTACTAGTAGATTGTAACAATTTTGGATTCAGATGTCACCAATTTATTCCATACTCTGCTGCCATTGATGTCTCTTACAGCTCAAAATTACTGCTTACTTAACAACAAAACAAAACAAAACAAGACTTTTTTTTATACCCTAAGCCTGGCTTTCTGGGATTGTCACAGGGTCAGGATAGGTTAGTGGTCAGCCAATGATTGATCAGAGCTTGTGCTTAAACAAAGATCAGGCAATGTTCAGCTCTGTCTGCCTTTACTTTCTGTGTTTGCAGCCTTCCTAGTTAGCCAGGGACAATTGGCTTTGTGCTGCTCCTTCTGGTCTTTTCCTGAGCTTGAAAGAAGCCTGTGCATGTGAACAACCTTCCAGACCACAATGGATAAATATGATCTTATCAAAACCCTTGTTGGCTCTCGCATTCCCCCAAACCCCTTGTTAAATTTCTCGTGGGTCTATTGCTTGCTCCAGCTAGTATGAAGAGCTCAGACTAGCTGTGACATTGGCCTTCCCTGATCATTTGCTCCTTAAAACACTGTTGTTTTTGGCAGTGCCCTTGGGCATATTTCCCTCTTACTGCTGAAAATAAAGTCAGTAACCTCTGCTGCCAGTCCTCTCTGCCTGCCACACACTGATAGAACTTCTACACTCCAGAGCTGGGAGTTAAATAAGAGTAACCCCAAGGAAGAAACCACAGGCTGTCCTTCCTGAGATTCAGTGGACAGTTTTGAATAAATACTCAGTTTTTGGTATGCATTGGTCATTTTCCAAAGTTTTTAATGTTTGTTTTTGGCTATTTTGCCCAGTTTTATTATTGACTTTTGAGAGGATTGCCAAGCTCATCACTCAACGATTTTCAAAGGCTCACCCTCAATTAATTCAATTTTGATTAACTTGGGTTTACCTTGGCAAGCACAGAGCCTGGCTGGCACATGTGAGGATGTCAGTAGAAGGATTATTATAGCAAAGCAGAAAGTTATCAGAACATATGGAGAGCAAGGGAGAGAGAGAGACATTCGAGGAAAATGTTTGGGCTCTAAATTAGGAGGAAAATCTGTAGTGTCCTACATTTAACCCTGATTTGAACAACTAAGCCACTTCCTCTACCTGGCATCATTTTTTCAGCCTATGAAATTATGGATTTAGATGACAGGAAATGAGACATATTCCTTCTCTCATGTCTCTGGAATAGTCAGAGATGGGTTCACAAGGTGATACTGATGAAATGACCAAGAGAAAGGGAAGAGCCAAAACAAAGTTGATTGGCATAAGAGGCCCAGGCTTGACTATGAAAATTGGAGGTGGCTGGCTATCAAAGGTTGGTGAACATAAGTGTTTCAGTTTGAATGTCAATGGGTCAACTTTCCTTAATATATTTGAGATTTAGCTATTCTGGTTAAAAAAATAACCCCAACTTCAGCCTCATGAGACCAAAAAATCAAATATTGAAAGAAATCAATGTATTAAACCATTCATCACAATGTTTCAAAAATCAAGCAGATATATCAGTAATAGGACAGGTAAGAAGATGGTCACCAAAAGAGCTTCAATGCCCAGAGAGAGAGGAAAAGCTCTTTCCATGAGCGTTGCAGGTAAGTTTTCTTATTAGTATCTATCATAATAAAATTAACCCATTGCATGAGTACAGAGCACTTTCTAAAGCACTTTCTTTTCCCTGCATGTGATTTTTTTTTCATTAGAACAACTCTGGAAGACAATTACCCATAATTCTGGCCAAAAAGAAAGACACCTGCTCAACCTTGCCAATTGGATATTGCAAATAGAAGAGATTAGAAAGAGTAGAAGCCAAATCTAGCGACCAAGACTCTTGCCTTCCATATAGAATTAATATCAAATCATTCACATTAAATCAGGATCATTAGTACATAAACAAGAGTATGAATAACAAAATCCATTATACTGACTTTCAATTAAATCTTAAAATTTAAAATGAAGATGCTCATAGTCATAGTAAACCAATAACATACTACATTGCTCTATATGTTAAAATTTTCTTAATGTCTTAACTCTTCTTGGTATCTGTTTCTGTTTCTGCCTTTCTTTATCTTGATTTAATTCCCAGATGTATTTTGTTTGACTATCCGTATGTTTACTCTTTATTTTCTTTGATTCTGTTTTCTATTTACTATCTCTCTTGTCCTATGTCTGTTTCAATATACTGTTTATTATCTTTCAACTTTTCTTTTATAACTTCACTTCGATTTTAAAAGAGTATCACTTGAGTTGAAATTAGGGCCTGATTTCATGCCCAAAAAAGTGATTGATGGCTTGTTTCAATTTGAAGGCATGTTCTAAAAGTTATGGTTACTGACTAATACCACTTAGAACACTCTACTTTCAAGGTGTAATTGATCATGTTGAAGTTAATTGTGTTTCCCAAGACAAAATTTTATAGTTTTTAATCATAAGATTAATAATTCTATAGTTGTTGCATAGAATTAATTCTATAGTTGTTGCATATATTGACAACTACAGAATTATTGATTCTATAGTTGTTGCATATATTGAGTTATATATATATATATATACACACATATATAGTTGTTGCATATATGTTGAGGTTGATTATTGGAGGCAAATAACAGATTCAGTGCTGTCAAGAATCTAATAGTGCTGCAAAGGGTTTAATATAAGAAGTGCATTCATAGAAGTGAGAATGATGCAACCATACTGTTATTGGCTTGACATCTCAGAGTGAAATGAAAGCCACATAACTAAATAAAAATGCCAAAGGTGGTGGAAAAGAGTAGCTGGCTAATTCAGTGTTTGGTATTAATTCATTCACCACCCAAGAAGTATTCATCATACATCTTTTATGTTCCAAGCATGTAGAGATAGAGCAGTAGCAATAAGACATAGAATAGGAAATGGGCAAAGCAAATGCTCAATCATCATAAGGACATGATTACTCAAACTGATTATTTAAATATAATTGCTAAACAGATGGCAGGAGGCTGCAAGTCCCCAAGAAACAACCTCTACAGTTGGCATGTGTTTGAGAAAGCAGAATAGTTTTCAAGCAGAATGTATTCAAGCAGAATGGCTTTCTTGGATTTTGTTGTGCCCAATAAAATAAAACTTTTCCAAGTCTGGAGTAGAAAGGAGAGGCTTCTTGGAAGTAGCAATGCTTAATTTGGGCCCTGACGGGGGAGGAGAAAGTAGTTGACATGGGAGGAAGGGCAGGAAGGAGGGAGATGTCCATGTACTATGAAATACAAAAACATATGATTCTATTTTATGTTTCTTTTGAAATCTAGGAGCCCAAGGTATACCAGCATGAAGAGGATCACCTGAGTTACCTGGAGATATTGAGATATGCCCACCCCTACCACCATGTGCCTGCTGTGTAAAGCTCAATGGGCCATTACCAGGACCATCCCAGTCCACTGTCTTCCAGGAAGCTCTGTACAACCATCAGAATCATTCTGACCTGGCCACTGGAGTGTGTTCTTCATTCTCCTGCACCACCCTCGTGTATACCACTTTGGTTCTGACATTGCACTGTTTCAGAATGCTGTCAAGGTGGGTCTCATGAGGAATGGTATCCAGGTCAGGGACAAACAAGGAGACCAAGGACAGCCATGAGCAAGTTTCAGGAAGTTCCATCACACAGCTGAGAAATGGGATATGATGTGGCCACAGTCTAAGCTGGACAAAGCGGAGTCTGAAAAAGGAACTTATCTAACTGTATTCTATGGGTATTTGCTCAGTGGAAATTCAGAAGGCTGGAACTAACAGCATGGGCCTTTTCCTCAAGTACCTCTGCACTTAAGAAAGGATGCTTTCTACTGCTCTCAGCCCAAGTATTCCCTCTAGTATCATTCAATGGTGAATAGCTCACCAAATTGGCAATGGCTAAGTTTGAACAAAATGAATATATTAGCAATGACTGAAACCAATAAAGACCAACAACTCATCAATTTGTTGACAGTTTCTTATTTGTCATTCTCAAAATTCAACATCCTGGGTGGCAAAAGTATGGGGAAAATCAAACAAAAACCTCACAATAAAACAGGGAGAGAGAGGAAGCTACCCAGCCAGTTTACTATTGAATACACCATGAAAACTCCCATTCAACTCCTTTATTAAGCACTTTTTCCCACGTCTCTAAGGGACAAAAATCTTGCTCAAATTCCTAAACCTGTTTTGAGAATTAAGTATATGGATATAAAAGTAAATATCCTTGGGACAAATACAAGTTACTTAAAGGACCTAATGAAAATGCTTCCCACCAGAGGATTTCCTTAAAGCACAATTGCATGGGTGGTGGTACCTGGAGACAGAAGGTCAAAGATAGAAGTGAGAGAATTTCTAAGGCTTCATAGATTTTAGACTCTTAATTTACTTCAGACTGTTAGCTACTTACCCAAAACCCATTCTCCCTTTCTTCTACCTAATTTCTATTCTAGCTAATTTGTTCAAGTTGGCTCAATGAGCCCAGTTAAGATACCTAATATGATTAGTCTCTATTACATTCAGGGTGGCCATAAAAAGCACCATCCTTTCCAATGACGTGTAAGTTAGTAGTGCTTTCAGGGTTCATATTTAAAAGGGGAAAGACTCAGTTGGCTTATGTCTTCAGGCTTTGGCCTCTACGCTTTACTCTCTCCATTTCTTCCTTTGCAGAATGTGGTTCTGGTGGCTGCAACAATCATCTTGCAGGCAGCAAACCAAAGCCACATATTCCATGGTGGAGCAGAAGAGAAGTGCCCCCAATCCTTGCAGACTTCCCTGAGCCTCTTGTCAACTTTATACTACTTAGGACTAGACTTTGGGGAAAAAAAATCTTAGCAGGTTTTTTTTTAATTGAACTGTAAATTAAATACATTAAAATGCAAAAATCTAAAGAGTGCATGGAATTTTTACTTACACATACAAGCATGGACCCACCATCCAAGTCAATGTATAAAACATTTCTATCACCCCAGAAATGTCCCCTGTGTCCTTCCAGTCTACAGCCGTGTCTGTAATGTTCAACCCATTAGTCTGACCTTCAGCATTGTCAGTTATCTTTGCCTACTCTTGAGCCTCATATCAATAATATCATGAAATATAAAATCTTTTGTGTCCAGTATTTTTTCACTCTTCATAATGTCAGTGAAATTCACCCACACTGTTGTGTGTGACAGTAGTGTAGTATTTCATTGTATGGAGATGTATACCATTTAATTGTATGACTATACCACCATTTGTTTGTCCACTCTTCTGTTGATGGACATTTGAATGGCTTCCAGGGATGGGCTATTATAAATAAAGCAGTTATATACATTATTGATTATGCCTTTTGTAACACAAACTCTCATTTCTTTGAGGTACATACATCTGAGTGAAATTTGAGGATCTTTGAGTAGATGTATGTTTAAAAATTAGTAAAATAGACACAGATTTTTCAAAGTAATAGAACCAATTTATACCACCAACAAGAATATATGAGTGATCTAGTTGGGCCTCATCCTCACAAAGACTTTATATTATTGAGTTTTAAATTTTAACCATTTTGGTGAGTTTATAGAGTATAATTACGTTTTAGTTTATTTTCTCCAGATAAGCAATAATGTTAAAATGTTTTAAACATTGTATTTGAAATAATTTTGGACTCACATAAGAGCTGCAAAACAATTTAGAGATTTTCCATGTAACCTCACCTAGGTCTCGCGATTATAGCTTTTTACATATATGTGATCCAATTATCAAAACCAGAAAACTGATATTGAAAGAATACTAATTCAACTTAGTATTGACTGTCTATATAAACAGACCTTATTTGGTTTTCGGCAGTTTTTGCATACGCTTTTTTTGGGTAAATAGTTCTATGAAATTCCTTCACATTTATAAATTCATATAACTTCCACTACAATTAGGATAATTTAATTACTGTTTAATTACCCCAGAGAAACATCATCATCCTACCCTATAAAGTAACAAAGCAAATCTATTCCATCAACCACTGATCTGTTCCCCATCTGCTATGGTTTAAATGTCCCTACCAAAATTCATGTTGAAATTTACTTGCCATTGTAACAGTATTAAGAAGTAATCCTTTAAGAGGTAAATGAGGGCTCTGTCCTCATGCATAAATTAATTCTGTTATCATGGGAGTGGGTTAGTTACCATGGAAGTGGGCTCCTCTTCAAGGGATGAGTTTGGGCCTGTTTCCTCTTTCTGACACCCACATGCCATGTGATGTCTTCTGCTGTGGAATGACCCTCTACAGATGTCAATGCCATGTTCTTGGACTTTCCAGACTTCAGAGCCTGGAGCCAAATAAACTTCTGTTCTCTATAAATTACCCAGTCTGTGTAACCTGTTATAGCAACAGAAAATAGACTAAGATGCCATCACTATAGTTTTTAACTTTGAGACTGTATTATAAATGGAATACTACAATATGTGATCTATTACTATTGGATTTTTCACACAACACCATGAACTTGAGATCCATCCAAGTTGTGTTCATCAATATTTTTTCTTTTTTGTTGCTCAATAGTAGGCCATTGCATGAATATGCCACAGTTTGTTTATCCATTCCCTCACTGAAGACCATTTGTGTTGTTTCAAGTTTGGGGCTATAACAAATAAAACTCCTATGAATATTCATGCGCAAGTTTTGTTTGAACATAAATTTTTCTTTTGCTAGGATTCCCAGGAGCAAGATGGTTGAGTCATATAAAATGTATATATACAGTATAAAATTCATATGTAAATTTTGCCAAGCTTTTTTTCAAAATTGGCTGTATTATTTTACTTCCCATCAGCAATATTTGAGAGTTCCAGTTGCTCTCCATCCTTGATATCAGTTATGTTAGTTTATTATTTTAGCTATTCTGGTAGGTGTGTAATATCTCATTGTGGCTTTAGTTTGCATTTCCCTACTGGCTAAAAATATTAAATTTTTTTGTGTTAATTTACTATTTATGTATCCTCTTTGGTGCAATGTCTGTCCAGGTTTTGCCCATTTTCTAATGAGATTGTTTGGTATCTTACTAAATTTGGAGAGTGATTTAAAAAATATATTTACAATGTAAGTGCTTTTTCAGATATTTGATTCAGACATATTTTTTCCTGGTTTATGGCTTCATTTTTGTTTTCTTTTTTTCTTTTTTTTTTTTTTTGAGACAGAGTCTCGCTCTGTTGCCCAGGCTGCAGTGCAGTGGCGCGATCTCGGCTCACTGCAATCTCCGCCTCCTGGTTCACTCCATTCTCCTGCCTCAGCCTCCCGAGTAGCTGGGACTACAGGCGCCCGTCACCATGCCCGGCTAATTATTTTTTTAATATTTTTTAGTAGAGACGGGGTTTCACTGTGTTAGCCAGGATGGTCTCGATCTCCTGACCTCGTGATCCGCCCGCCTTGGCCTCTCAAAGTGCTGGGATTACAGCCGTGAGCCACCGCACCTGGCCTGTTTTCTTAACAGTGTCTTTCATGGAGTAAAAGTTTTAGATTTAATAAGGCCCACCATATTGGTCTTTTTTCTTTCATGAATCATGCTTTGGTGTTTTGTGCAAGAACTCTTGCCTAAACCTAGGTCATAAAGGTTTTCTCCTAAATATTTTTCTGAAAGTTTTGTAGTTTTACATTTAGATGTGTGTTTGTTTCCTATTGCTGCCATAACAAATTGCCACAAACTTAGCTGATGAAAACTATCAATTTATTTTTTCAGTTCTGTAGGTCAAAAGTCCTGATGAGTTTAATTAGTTACTTTACTCTTTCATAAAGCTGAAATCAAGGTGTCAGCTGGCTGGGCTCTTATTGGGAGTTTCCAGAAGATTGCACTTCTGGAGTAATTCACGTTTTTGGCAAAATTCAGCTCCTTATGCTTGTTGGACTGAGGTCTCTATTTCTTGGCTTGCTGACAGTCAGAGGCCAATCTTAGCTTCCAGAGGCTTCTTTCCAGTCTTTGCATTTCAGAGCCAGCAATGCATCATTGAATCTTTCTTATGCTTAGGATCTGTCTGAATTTCTATTCTGCTCTGGCTTCCTTCTACGTAATTATTTTTTATCACTTGTCTGTCACCTAAGTTGGAAAAAGTTCTCTGCTTTAAGGTCTCATGTTAAAACTAACCCAAAAGTCCCATAGACAGGTTTTTAAAAATAAAAGTAGAAATGGACCCTTCTGGTCTTAAAGCTTAAAACTTAAATTTGTTTTATCTGAGTTTCTTCCTCAGGAAAGAACCCCCAAGCCTCTCAAAAAGTATCAAAGAACTGAAACTCACCAGATCACCACATCCAGACAATGAGACACCAGGCCTCTTGTTCATCGTGATTGCTTCCTTATCACCCCTTAGTTCCTGTTTTCCCACACATAGTTATATTTCTTCCCTGCTAAATAAACCCCTCATTTTAGTCAGTAGGAGAGATGAATTTGAGACTGATCTCCCATCTCCTCAGCTGCAAGCCCCCGATTAAAGGCTTCTTCCCTGGCAATCCTCATTGTCTCAGTGGTTGGCTCTCTGTGGGCAAGCAGCAGGACCTATACTGAATCCCTGGCATTTCAGTAACAATGTGATTAGATTGGGCCCATCCTGAAAATTCAGGATAATCTCCCCAGTATAAGGTCCATACATTTAATCCCTTCTACAAAGTTAAAATTACGTATTCCCAAATTCCAGAGATTAAGACATGGTCATCATTAGGAGGCCATTCTGTTTACCTCAAGATCTATCATTCATTTTTAGTTTCTGTATAAAGTGTGAGACTTAGGTTAAGGTTCAATTTTTGCCTATGGAGATCCAGTTATTCCAACATCATTTTTGTAAAAGACCATTATTTCTCTACTAAATTGTGTTTGCTTGTTGGCAAAAATAAATTTGCTTTTGTACTTGTATGGGCTTATGTGTGGACCCTCTGTTCTATTTTATTGATGTGTGAGCATATCTCTTTGTCATACCATCCTGTCTTGATTACTATAGCTATATAGTAAGTTTATAAATCCTGTAGTGTGATTCATCCGCTTTATTTTTTTTAGTCAAAATTGTTTTCCCTAGTCTAGTTCTTTTTCTTTTCAATATAAATTTCCGAATCAGCTTATCTGTATCTCAGAAAAAAATCTGCTAGGGGTTTTGAGAGGCGGTGCATTAAACCTGTAGATATTTCAGGACAATTGATATCTTTACTATGCTTAGTCTTCCCAAACATTAGGCACAGTATGCTTCTCCATTTATTTTGGTCCTCTTTGATTTCTTTGAAGAGGAGCATTATGTAGTTTTTAGCATACATTTCCTCTATAGGTTTCATTAGACGTTTATGTAAGAATTCAATTTTTAGAGCTATAATTTATAGTATTGTTTTTTAAATTTATATTTCCAATTGTTCACTGATAGTATATAAAAATATGATTCATTTGTGTGTGTGTGTTGACCTTGTATCCTGTGACCTTGCCTAACTCACTGAGTACTAAGAGTTTCCTTTGTAAATCCCTTGAAATTTTAATATAGACAATTATGCCATCTGCAAATAGGAACAATTTTATTTCGTTTATTCTCAGTTGGATGTCTTGTATTTCTTTTAATTTCTTTATTCCATTGGTTTCTAGTGCTATGTCAAATAGCAGTGAAAGACATCCTTACCTTTTTCCTGCTCTTAACAAAATGGAATTCAGTCTTTCACTGTTAATGGTATGATACTAGCTATTGTCTTTTTGTTGTTGTTGATACTCTATCAGATTGAGGAAGTTCAAGCTATTCTTAGTTTGATGAGAGGTTTTATTGTGAGCAGGAGCTGAATTTTTTTGAATGGCTTTGTCCATTCATTGAGACAACTATGAGACTTTTCTTCTTTAATCTGCTAATATGATTGATTTTTGCACACTGAAACAGCCTTGCATTCTTGCAATAAAATCTGCTTGGTTGTGGTATATTATTCTGTTTATATATTGTTGAATTTCTTTTGCTAATATTGTATTATGGATATTTGCATCTAGTTCATGAGGAATATTGGTTTGTAGTTTTCTTCCTTTGCATTATCTTTGTCTGATTTTAGTATTGGGCAATGTTGGCCTCAAAAAAAAAAAACAAGTTGTGAAGTGTTCCCTTATCTATTTTCTGGAAGTGATTGTATAGAATTGTGTTTATTTTTTCTTCAAATGTTTGATAAAAGTTGCCAGTGCAATCATCTTGGCCTGGAGAATTCTCTTTTTGGAAGATTTCTAACTTCAATTTATTTAATGACCCTGTAGGCATTTACGCATTCCTAGCTCTGCCAGCTCATGTCTCTCCAGGCCTCATAATTTCCCTTTCAATGCCAATCCTTGCCTGAAGAGCAAGCTTTCCTTTAGGAACATACCAGCCCACTATTGTCTACATCAGCTGAGAATTCTCCATCAGCTACAGTGACATTTTGATTGAGCCCAGTGGCATGCTGGCTGGTGCTGGCTGGTGCTGACCAAAACTGCACCTCTTCTCTGGCACAGGCAGTGCTTCAAAGAATGTTTCCACTCCTTGCCTCATGACATGTGGGAAAAGAGTGCCTACTGGCCCGAGCATTGTGCTGGCCATAAGATTCCCACTGTTCCCAAAACGCTAGCTCACATTGGATCACACCAGCTGAGAGGTCTTTTCAGTTCTAATCATAAGTTGACTTCTCACCTATTTTTACTGAGTATAACATTTTTTGGATTTTTTATTTTTATTATATTTAAATTTTTTAATGGTTAAATTTTAAATTTTTGTGGCTACATAATAGGTGTATATATTTATGGGGTACATGAGATATTTTGGTATACATGTGCAATGCATGATAATCGCAGCATAGAAAATTTAATAATTTCTTGGTTATCAAAGGATCTGGTTTCTTTTTATTTTGCAGTACTTTGAATTTGTCACTTTATTTTCACCATATAAATATGGCTTTCATATTACACATATGTTAGTTCTTTAGATTATGTCCCGCATATAGTTTGTGCTCTATTTTGTTGTTTTTTATTTTGTTATTATTTTTTATCTCTGCTTCAATTTAGTTGTTTTCCATTTTCCTGATGGTAAGTCCACTAGTTTGTCTTCTGCTGTGTTTACTTTGCTATATTCTAAGAGTCTTTTATTTTCCAGTGCTAGATTATCAGCTTGGTTTTTACTCTGATTATAATTCTCTGTTCAAATATTTCAATTTCATCAACTTTGTCCAGCAGTTTTCCTATTTTATTTTCCGTATTTATCACAATTAATTGGAATTCCTTGTCTGCTACCTTAAACTCTGGATCATCTCTTGGTCTATCTTCATTGACTTTTAAATTTTTTCATTTATTTTTTATTTTATGTTTTATTTAAATTTTTTTAGGCATGAAGTTTCATTATGTTGCCCAGGCTGCACTTAAACTCCTGGGCTCAAGTGATCCTCCCACCTCAGGCTCCTGAATAGCTGAAATTACAGACACGTGCCACAGCACCAAGCTTTCACTGACTTTTTATTTCTTGATTATCAATAACTTTTTCCTGTTTCTTTGAATATCTGTTCATCTTTTTACTGTATGTTCAATATTGTAGGTGACAGGCTGTGAGTGATATGGATTATATTTCTGAAGAGTTTATATTTGTTTGGACAGTAGTTAAATTATCAATGAATTGTATCCATCATTTCAAACCTTTCTTAAGGTTTGTTGTGGGTGAGTTGAAATTTCCCGTCTTCATGGAATATCTTTTCTACCTGCAGCATAGTACTTACTCATGGTGGGGTGTGGGGAGTGTCTTTCTGCAACTTAAATTAAGGTCTCTCCATTTTCTCAGACACATTTACTTAACACTCTGTGATTCCTGAAATTTCTCTTTAGTTTGCATTATCTTACCAACAATTCTCTGTAGCCCACTATATCCTTGAGCTTTATTTGCATAGTTTATAAGTGAATTAGGAACTTCAGGTGAATATTTGCAGATATTTGGGTTTCTCTCTCTGTGACTTCCTACTCTTTGATACTTGCCCTTCAAATCCCAGGGGACTGGCGGTCCCAAATTTTAATCTCTGTTTCAAAAAACCAGTGAAACCATCATTCTCTAAGTTTGGTTGTATTACACCAGGATGTTGTTTAGGAAATTCTCATAAGCAGAAATCTGGGACCAATGTGGGGTTCACTTCTTATCCTCTTCTGCCAAGGTCATATTCCTCTATTGGTTGCTACCCAGTGCCTACAAAATGTTGCTTAATGTATTTTGTTTATCTGTTATAATTGTTTATGACAGAAGGTTAAATCCAATGCTAGCTAATCTCTAATGGCCAGACTTTGGACTTCTTGTTATATGGAAAAAAAAAAAAAAGTAAACTCCTCTTTTATTAAGCTACTGAAGTCAGGTTTACATTTTTGTTTTTGTTTTGTTGTTGTTATTGTTTTTGAGACAGAGTCTCACTCTGTTGCCCAGGTTGGAGTGCAGTGGCATGAACTCAGCTCACTGAAACCTTTACCTTCCAGGTTCAGGCGATTCTCCTGCCTCAGCCTCCCAAGTACCTGAGATTACAGGTGCCTGCCATCATGCCTGGCTAATTTTTGTATTTTTGTAGACATAGGGTTTCACAATATTGGCCAGGCTGGTCTCGAACTCCTGACCTAAGGTGATCTACTTGCTGCAGCCTCCTAAAGTGTTAGGATTACAGGTGTGAGCCACTGCGCCCAGCCAGGTTTATGTTTAATACAGGCAGAAACAACCTTATATTTTCTTCTGTGACTACGCTTTCTCTGAGATCCATTATCTTTTTCACTTCTATAATTCCTCATCACTCTTTCTTCCTTTCCTTCTTCTATTTAAGAATCATAATAAGTTAGTCTTTTTTTTTCTTGGGTTAAATGGAAAATATTTATTTATAAAGATGGATAAGACTAGGCCTCATAGATAGACATATATGTAAGATACAGATTTGATATGGTTTGGCTGTGTCTCCACCAAAATCTCATCTTGAATTGTAACTGCCACAGTTCCCATGTGTCATGGGAGGAACCCAGTGGGAGGTAATTGAATCATGGTGGCAGGTCTTTCCCATGCTGTTCTTGTGATGGTGAATACGTCTCATGAGATCCGATGGTTTTAAAAATGGGAGTTTCCCTGCACAAGCTTCTTCTTTTGTCTGCTGCCATGTGAGATGTGCCTTTCACCTTCCACCATGATTGTGAGGCCTCCCCAGCCACGTGGAACTGTAAGTCCAATAAACCTCTTTCTTTTGTAAATGGCCCAGTCTAGGTATGTCTTTGTCAGCAGTGGTACCAATTTACTGTATCAGAAAATGGACTAATACAGTAAATTAGTACCAAGAGTGGGGTGCTGCTGAAAAGATACCCAAAAATGTGGACTTTGGAACATTTTTACAGGTAGAGGTACCTGTTACATTTTAACAGGTAGAGGTTGGAACACTTTGGAGGGCTCAGAAGAAGAGAGGAAAATGTGGGAAAGTCTGGAACTCCCTAGAGACTTGGTAAATGGCTTGACCAAAATGCTGATAATGATATGGACAATGAAATCCAGGCTGAGGTGGTCTCAGATGGAGATGAGGAACTTGTTGGGAATTGGAGCAAAAATGACTCTTGTTACATTTTAGCACAGAGACTGGTGGCATTTTGCCCCTTTCCTAGAGATCTGTGGAACTTTGAACTTGAGAGAGATGATCTAGGGTTTCTGGTGGAAGAAATTTCTAAGCATCAAGGCATTCAAGAGGTGACTTGGTTGCTGTTAAAGGCATTCCGTTTTAAAAGGGAAACAGAGCATAAAAGTTTGGAAAATTTTCAACCTGACAATGCGATAGAAAATAAAAACCCATTTTCTGAGGAGAAATTCAAGGAGGCTGCAGAAATTTGCATAAGTAATGAGAAGCCAAATGTTAATCACCAAGACAAAGGAGAAAATGTCTCCAGGGCATGTCAGAGACTTTTGAGGCAGACCCTCCCATCAAGGGCCAAAGGTTTAGGAGGGAAAAATGGTTTCATGTGCCAGGCCCAGGGTCCCTTTGCTGTGTGCTGTCTAGGAACTTGGTGCCTTGCATCCCAGCCACTCCAGCTGTGACTAAAAGGGGCCAAGGTACAGCTCGGGCTGTTGCTTCAGAGGGTGGAAGCCCCAACCAAGCCTTGCATCTTCCATGTAGTGTTGAGCCTGTGGGTGCACAGAAGTCAAAAAATGAAGTTTGGGAACCTCTGCCTAGATTTCAGAGGATGTATGGAAACGTCTGGATGCCCAGGCAGAAGTTTGCTGCAGGGGTGGGGTCCTCATGGAGAACCTCTGCTAGGGCAGTGTGGAAGGGACATGAGGGTCAGAGTCCCCACACAGAGTCCCTATTGGGGCACTGCCTAGTGGAGCTGTGAGAAGAGGGCCCAGCATCCTCCAGATCCCAGAACGGTAGATCCACCAACAGCTTGCACTGTGCTTCTGGAAAAACCACAGACACTCAACACCAGCCCATGAAAGCAGCTGGTGGGGCAGAATGGGGAAAGGGGGCTATACCCTGCAAAGCCATAGAGGCAGAGCTGCCCAAGGCTGTGGGAGCCCACCTCTTACATTAATGTTATCTGGATGTGAGACATGGAGTCAAAGGAGATTATTTTTGAGCTTTAAGGTTTGACTGCTCCACTGGATTTCTGACTTGCTTGGTGCCTGTATCACCTTTGTTTTGGACAATTTCTCCCATTTGGAATGGTTGTATTTACCCAATGCCTGTAACCCCATTGTATCTAGGAGGTAACTATCTTGCTTTTGATTTTAAAGACTTTTAGGTGGAAGGGACTTGCCTTGTCTTTGATGTGACTTTGGGCTGTGGACTTTTAAGTTAATGCTGAAATGAGTTAAGACTTTGGGGAAATATTGGGAAGGCATGATTGGTTTTGAAATGTGGGGACATGAGATTTGGTGGGGGCAGGGGTAGAATGATATGGTTTGGCTGTGTCCCCACCAAAATTTCATCTTGAATTGTAACTCCCGCAATTCCAATGTGTTGTGGGAGGAACCCAGTGGGAGGTAATTGAATCATGGTGGCAGGTCTTTCCTGTGCTGTTATCATGATATCAAATAAGTCTTACGAGATCTGATGGTTTTAAAAATGGGAGTCTCCCTGCACGAGCACCCTTCTCTTGTCTGCCACCATGTGAGACACGCCTTTCACCTTCTGCCGTGATTGTGAGGCCTCTACAGCCACATGGAACTGTAAGTCCAATAAACCTTTCTTTTGCAAATTGCCCAGTCTCAAGTATGTCTTTATCAGCAGGATGAAAATGGACTAATATCATAGTTAATAAAGACTGGCCTTTTGTAGTATTTCAAAAGAAGGATAATTCATCAAGTGAGCTCAGAGTCCAAAGTGAGTGAATCATTATGAAGTAAGTAAGATAACTTGATGACTTTCATGTATAAAAAGCTGAGAGATTAACCTTCTGGTCCTTTTTAAGTTGATACTTTTTTCAGCCACTCTACCTATTAACCCATGTGAGCTTTCAAAAATGGAAATCTGGTCATGGTATCCCATGCTTAAAAACTCTTTAATGTTTTCCCACTTTTTTAAGGATAAAGACCAATTTCTTTGCATGGCTTACAATGTTGCACATGGCCTGGCCCCTCCCCACTTCCCATTTGCATCTCAGTCCCTTCCTTGTATTATTTACAGCTCTAACTAAACTGCCTGTTAGTCCTCAGTAACATGCTTGTACCAACAGAGAACCACTGCTCATTGTCTTACCTCTGCATAAAACTCATTTTCCTCCTACTTATCCATACTTCCATACCACTATCAACAATGTTGATGAGTAAAAATACTCATGAAGGATGATCGAACTGACTTGTACAAATCCTCCTTTTTTTGTATTATTGAAACATCATGATACCCTTCTTTTAGTACTCATCGTAGTTTTAATTTTACAAAGAGAAAATCTGATAGCAATCAGATAAAAATAATACATTACTTTTCAAGAAAAACTAGCTTTCACAAAAGAAATTACGAAATTCAGAAGACAAAGGAGTTACATCTTTAGAGTGATGAAAGGAAATGACTGCCAACCTAGATTTGTAGACCCAGTAAAAATAATCTTGAAAAGTCAAGGTGAAGAAGGAAGCTCAGATTTACATGAATAAATGAAGAATACCAAAAATAGTAAATTTGCAGAACAATGCAAAATATATTCTTCATTTAATCACTTTAAAATATAATTATTGAAAATAAGAAAAATAACAGTGTATTGTATATTTAAAATATATGAGTGTGTAAAACATGTCAAAAATATTACAAAGAATGAGAGAAGGGAAATGAAATTATACTACATTGAAGTTCTTATCCACTAAGTGATGTGGTATAATATTATTTGTAATTATACTGTGCTGAGTTGAAAATGTATATTCTATACATTGCAACAGCATTCTAAAATAATAAAACAAAATGGTGTAGATAACAAACCAATAGTGGAGATAAATTTAAATCTTTTGAAACAACTGCTCAATTATTGCAAAAGAAGGCAGTAAGAGAAAAATAAATGAACGACTAACAAATAGAGCCTATGTTTGAACATCAATTGACACAACTTCACTCTAGTTAGAAACCAACTTAGGTTGTTGGCCTCAGACATGAACAAAAAAATAAATATTAAGAACAATTGATATATTATAACATCTTCCCTCTAGCTTTGAAAGAAAGGCAGGTGAGAGAAGAATGAAATGACCAGAAGCATATTTATTACAATACAAAAACTTCCATCTGAATATCAGGATATTCAGAATATAAGGAAGAGGCCTCTCCATGGGAATTGTAGGTAACTGTAATCACTGTTAACTGATAAAGAATTGAGCCCCACATGTTGATACAAGTAACTATCCAAAGTAATGTCTTCTGCTATCACTTGCAATTTATTTTATCATCAAAACTATCCTGAGATACAATTTTCCCGTAACACTGGACAAAGGGATAAATTCCATCTTAGTTCTTCAATCAGATATGGCAGATAGAATAGGGTGGAATTAGAAGTTAAATGTAGATAAAACCCTAGGTTGTCAATAGGTAATGAATTATATTGCATCAAATTAGTCCAGGGAAACTGTGACATTCAAAAAGCAGAAGGTTAAATAATGCAAAATGTTTATACATTTGACTATAGAATGTATATTTTTTATCAGTAGTCTGATATATAACCTAATATTAATATTCTCATCCCTATAATCAAATATATCAACACTTGCAGATTCTCTGGGCCCTCTTTGTCCTCATCCCTGTTTCAAACCCTCATTTCTTCTCTCTGCCCATCTGGGTGTGGCTGTGTCTTCCTGTCACTTCCCCTTTCTGATTCCATCATTCTCTTCTATCTTGGCCTTTTCTCCACATTCTCTAATTGTCTGACAGTTCTCTGACTTATTTCACTATTTAACTAATTATAACATAAAATCAAAATCTAACACATAATATTTGTTGTATATACTAATTTCAATTTGAAGTTCTCAGTCTTTGACAAAAGCAAAATATCTGTACACTTTTCATTCACATATATATTCATTTATTATCTGTTGTCACTCTCTCTTCCTCCTGCTCACCTTTTTCAGTGGAGTATTTAAGGTCCCTAGTGTGCAATCATAAAATAAATTTAAAACATTTTACCAGATAAAAATTAGGAATGAAAAAAATTAAAAGACAACACAAATACTCATTGATAGACTGATAGGTTTAAATGTAGTTACTCTGCCTCTTGGTACCTAAATCAATTTAAATTTTTTTTTTTTTTTTTTGGAGATGGAGTCTTTCTCTGTCACCCAGGCTGGAGCGCAGCGGCACAATCTCGGCTCACTGCAAGCTCCGCCTCCCGGGTTCACGCCATTCTCCTGCCTCAGCCTCCTGAGTAGCTGGGACTACAGGCACCCGCCACCACGCCTGGCTAATTTTTTGTATTTTTTTTAGTAGAGACGGGGTTTCACCGTGTTAGCCAGGATGACCTTGATCTCCTGACCTTATGATCCACCCGCCTCAGCCTCCCAAAGTGCTGGGATTACAGGTGTGAGCCACCATGCCTGGCAATCAATTTTAAATTTTACCTGAAAATTTGGATCTGAAACTATTAGTGGTAAAAAAAAAAAAACACTCAAATCAAAAAGAGAAACAAAATAACTTATGCACTTAGCATTTGCATAAAAGAAAGATATATCAATTACTTGAGGGACTTGAACTTATACAGAGGGAAATCTTTCCCATAAGTTTTCACATAGGGGACACAAAGTAGCATAATCCACTTCAATAAAAGCCTACAGCACATTCAGTGTTAAGCTTTACATTACAGTTGTAGTGTCCTTAAAATATATGACAAGTTCAATGTTCTAAATGCTGAGCAAATCAATTGATATCTCTCTTGGTTTTAGTGGGAACCTATTTGAATTACATTTTTTGTTTGGACTTTGTGTGTGTATGTGTATGTTGAGGACAGTTGGAAGGAGGAAGAGTTAATGAGTCTGTGTATCTGCATTCAGAAGCTGACCCTTCCATATTGTTGAATGAGAGAAAAAATCAGCTAGGAGTTTCATACTTGGCTCCTCCATTACTTAGCTGACTTTGGGGGAGTCCAACCACTCTACCTTGCTGGCTTTCTATTTCCCGTTCTCTACAATGTAGAATACAATACGATTCTCTTCTTCACTTCACAAATTTGTCATGAAAATGGGATTAGAGACATGAAGCAGACATGTCTGGAGACTCTATGTAATTTTTATATCCACCTTAAAATTACTGTGACAGATGCTCTGTGTTGTCATGTGAGTGATTATTAACACTTTTAGTGGCAGTCCTCTCCTGTTCAGAAATCAGCACAGTGCATGCATAGGAGATGGGAGGTTGCGTGGAGGCAGTAATGTGCATATAGGAAACACACCCTATGTTCCAGACATAGTGATAGACCCTTTTCATACAGCATTTGCTTTAAGCTTCACAGCTGGCTGACAAGGAGTGTAGCATTTATTGCACTTCTCTAGATCTCAGGCTGAGTGAAGGGAAGTTGGCCTGGGCCAGATCTCCCAGGATGAAAGTAGCAGAGTGAAGATTTGAATTTCCCTTTCTCTGTCTGACATTGGAAAACATGTTTTAAAAGTGAGTGTGGTTTTTCCTCTGTATTAGTCCATTCTCATGCTGCTATAAAGAACTGCCTGAGACTGAGTAATTTATAAAGAGGTTCAACTGACTCACAGTTTAGCATGGCTGGGGAGGTCTGAGGAAACTTACAATCATGGAAGGGACCTCTTCACAGGGTGGCAGGAGAGAGAAATGCCGAGCAAGTGGGGAAAAGCCCGTTATAAAACCATCAGATCTTGTGAGAACTCACTCACTACCATGAGAACAGCATGGGGGTAACTGCCTCCATGATTCAATTACCTCCCACCAGGTCCCTCCCACGACCCATGGGGATGATGGGAACTAGAATTCAAGATGAGATTTGGGTGGGGATACAGAGCCAAGCCATATCATTCTGCCCCCGGCCCCTCCCAAATCTCATGTCTTCACATTTCAAAACACAATCATGCCTTCCCAACAGTCCCCCAAAGTCTTAGCTCATTCCAGCATTAACCCAATAAAAGTCCAAGTCCAAAGTCTCATCTGAGACAAGGCAAGTTCCTTCCACCGATGAACTTGTAAAATCAAAAGCAAGTTAGTTACTTCCTAGATACAATAGGGGTACAAGAATTGGGTAAATACATCTGCTCCAAATAGGAGAAACTGGCCAAAACAAAAGGGTTACAGGCCCCATTGCAAGTCCAAAATCCAATAGGGCAGTCATGAGACCTTAAAGTTCCAAAATGATCTTCTTTGATTCCATGTCTTACATTGTGGTCATGCTGATGCAAGAGGTGGGCTTTCACAGCCTTGGGCAGCTCTGCCCCTATGGCTTTGCATAATACAGCCCCCCTCCCAGCTGCTTTCATGGGCTGGCATTGAGTGTCTGTGACTTGGTCTAAATTGTTGGTGGACCAACCATTCTGGGGTCTAGAGGATGAGGATCTCTAGGGGAGGGACAAAATGCTTCCAGTCTGTTTGCTAAAGCATTTCAAGAACCACCTTTATTCCAGTTCCCAAGAAGTTCCTCATCCCCATCTGAGACCACTTCTGCCTGGAATTCATTGTCCATATCACTATCAGCCTTTTGGTCAAAACCATTCAACAAGTCTCTAGGAAGTTCCAAATTTTCCCACATTTTTCTGTCTTCTGAGCCCTCCAAACTGTTCCAACCTCTGCCTGTTACCCAGTTCCAAAGTTGCTTCCACATTTTCAGGTATCTTTACAGTAGCACCCCACTCTCATTATAATGAGATAATACCAATTTACTGTATTAGTCCATTCTCACACTGCTATAAAGAACTGCCCGAGACTGCATGATTTATAAAGAAAAGAGGTTTAATTGACTCACAGTTCAGCATGGCAGGCAAGGCCTCAGGAAATTTACAATTATGGTGGAAGGCACCTCTTCACAGGGCAGCAGGAGAGAAAAGTGCTGAACAAAGGAGGAAAAGCCCCTTATCACACCATCAGATCTCATGAGAACTCAGTCACTATCACAGAACAGCACGGGGGTAACTGCCCCAGTGATTCAATTACCTCCCACCAGGTCCCTCCCCTGACACGTGGGGATGATGGGAACTACAATTCAAGATGAGATCTGGGTGAGAACATAGCCAAACTATATCATCTTCCCTATGACTTTTCTTTCTCTTTACTTAAAGTATCAGAAAAATCATAAATCAGGATCAACTTTGCTGGCAAGGAAGTTACTGATGGCTTGCTTATCTACAGAAGAAAGAATGGCTGCCTGGAGGTTGGGGTGAAAATAGAGGATGTCTGTAAATTGGCACATGAAGCCTTTTCGGGGTGATGGAAATATTCTAAAATTGAATTGTGGCAGTGGTTGCACAGCTCTAACAATTGACTGAAAGTTACTGAATTATACACTTATGACAAAATGTTATGGCACACTAAGTACCTCTTAAAACTTTCATAATAAGGAGATTGTCACCAATTAAAAGGTTAACACTTGGACGTGTATGCTTACAAAGTTCTTTCATTAGTGTTGGAGGTGGATTACAGTCCTCTGGGAAAATTTCCTTTAGTGTTTGCTCATGCCGGTACCCACAAATAGAGGTGTCTTCTCAGATTCTCTTCTCATGTCTATGTTGTAATTGCACTGCTTAATCAATGTGAGTAAAGGGGTGTCTGTCATTCCATGAAAATCCAGCATTTGCATATATTCTCAAATATTATGAGTTTCTTTTAAGTCCAACACTGTACTAGATGCATCATATAAATTATCACAGATCCTTAACACAGTCGTCTTGGGCAGCCCTCATTGTCCCCATGTCGCAGGTTGGAAAAGTGTGCTCAGAAGAACTAAGTAAATTGTTCAAGCTCTGATTCTTTTCGCTATTTACCAATTTGTCACTTGGGCCTTGAATATATTTTCTATAACTCTGTATTACATTTTAAAATGAAGTGTGGTATGCTTTTACTGATGTAGGAAAAAAACCAGTTTCCAACATTTCCAATGACCATCTTTGTGTTTCAATACTCCAGAATGAAGTGAAGGTCTTTGGCTCCAAAATAATTGAAAGCTACTCCACTGTTTGGCATGAACTTGTTCATTACAGGTACATTCACTTAACAGGCTCTCTTTCCACCCTTGTAGAAATACAAAAATAAGACTTAATACAGACGATGGCATGGGCTTAGTAACTACCCCTTTACCCTTAAACAGCTCATTGCCCCTTTACAGGGAAGGGCTAAGTACAGTGTACGGTTTTATCACATTCCAGTGTAAGAAATGCATCGTGAAAAGCAGATGGAGAGGTGATGCTGGAGAGAGAGTGCATAGCTCTCATGGAAAAAGTCTTGTAGGATTTCTTAAACTGGTGATCTCTAGCTATTCTGTAAGAATAAAAAGAAATTTACGATGCAGATATGAGGGAAACATTTAGCAAGTGGTGAATAGTAAATGAAACTCCCAATTGGCTTGTTTTTGAGGAAATTCCATGCTTAATTGTGTGGGCTATCAGTGCCAAATCATAACAAAGATAGCACCACTTAATATATTTACTTAAAGAGTCAAAGGCTTGAGTGTCCTTGAGAAAACCTCTACGTCAGCAGAAGTTCAAGTTTCAGCAAACAATATTAACATCAAATACCAGGTAGCTATAGGTCGCCTTTCTCCCTGTTTGTGCCCCATTAAGAAGGGAGGTAGGAGGAGAGCATGGATATGACCAAACTCAAACTTATTTCTTGGGATTGTGAGTTTGCTGCCCCCTAACAGTGCTGGGAACATAATCCCTCACGAGGAGCAGAAACATCTTGCAGTTTATGTCCGTTTTTATCCATTGATCTCCTGCTGTCGATGTCTGACTTTTCGCTTTGTCTGTTTTATCAGTGGGAGCTGATGTCAACTCTTCAGAAATGTCAAGGTTCTGCAATTCTCATAGATTCCCAGGAGCTCGAAGTTCCCAAGTACGTCTTCCAGGGATGAGCGGCACTCCAGGTGAGAAAATAAAACATTCAGATGTTATTGGTTATTTCTTTTCTTGTTTTTCTTCTATTGAAATATCCATAAACCAGTGAAAATATACAGGTGTTTCTGACAAGCAGTAATAATCAACGTAAGATTTTGTTTTTTTTTTTTATTTTTATGTATATTTTTATTTTTGAGACAGAGTCTCGCTCTGTCACCCAGGCTGGAGTGCAGTGGCGCGATCTCAGCTCACTGCAACCTCTGCCTCCCAGGTTCAAGTGATTCTTCTGCCTCAGCCTCCCAAGTAGCTGGGATTACAGGCACACAACACCACACCTGGCTAATTTTCGTATTTTTAAATAGAGACAGGGTTTCACATGTTGGTCAGGCTTGTCTCAAACTCCTGACCTCAGATGATCCACCTGCCATGGCCTCCCAAAGTGCTGGTATTACAGGTGTGAGCCACTGCGCTCGGCCAAGACAAGAATTAAAAAAAAAAAATTACCACGAACTCTCATCCCAAGCACAGGTAAGCACATAGGTCCTTAAAACATATGCTGAGGAACAGAAAACCAAATACCGCACATTCTCATTTACAAGTGGGAGCTAAACACTGGGTACTCATGGACAAAAAGATGGCAACTATAGACAACGGGGACTACTAGAGGCAGGAGGAAGGGAGGGTGGAAAAACTAACTATGGATACTATGCTCACTACCTGAGTGACGGGACCAATCGTATCCCAAACCTCAGCATCGTGCAATAAACCCATGTAACAAATCTGCATGTGTACCACTGAATCTAAAATAAAAGTTTAAATTATAAAAAGAATAGATGCTTTGATTTTACCCCAGAAGAACTTCGGGGATAGATCCTGAAGAAGCCACAATTTGATGTTTATATGATTAAGGAAAAACCTTGATGATAGTTGAGATAGCATTAAAATTGGTGTGCTCTTTAAAGTGGCATAGTTGCTCTGTGCTCACCCATTGTTAACACTGGAGCACTGGTGAGTTTGCTGCAAGTCCAGGGATTTGCTGCAGTTTGGTGTCACCAACAACAACCTTGGATACAGTATTAGGAGATCTCCCATAGGTTCTGAGAAAATGCTGTGCCATTTGAACCTCACGGGAAGCCACTCACCAGTTTGATTCCTCATCTGTGATTTTTAAATCTACCTGTACTTCAAAATCATCTAGGGACCTTTACTAATATGCAGGTTTAGATCCAAACCCCCAAAATTCTGATTTAGAAGGTCACAGCATTATTAGCGAGGACACTGGGTTATTCACAGGCTCTACAGCTGATTGTATCACACAGCCCAGCTGGGAAAACATCACTCTAACATCCCTTTTATCTCTGATATGATACAATCCCTGGACTTCCCTGGGTCAATGTTTCCTTCGAGTCCTTAACTGCTGTTTGTGATAATAAAATCATATGATCAAATATATGAGATGAATTTGAAAATCTAAGCAACTATTTATTCCATCATTGCTTCAGAAAAACACCAAGAGTACCAACTCTATGCTGGACACTGTATGGTAGCACTTCAGGAACAAAATCAAGTAAAATACCTGCTATGGCCTGTTTAAGGAAACAAAACAGGTACATAGAGGAGAGATTATTATTCAGTGTGGTAAACGCTGTGGCCAGAGTAAACACTAGATTTTGCTATTCTGATGGCATAGAGGAAAGGACTTCCTGGGAAAATGATGCTTATGATGATTCTTGAAGGGTAAATGAATGTTAGTAAGGAGGGTTAAAATGGAAAGAAATTAATAAACTGTGAAATGCATGAATTTCAAATATCCCCTTTCTGTTTACGTTGGTGTTTAAGACTCCCACGCCATCCAGGATACCTAGGGCCACCTGGAACTCCAGGAGACATTGAGAAGTCCTTCCCCACTCAAGTCTGCCTTTGCAGTGAAGCTGAGGGATCCCATCCCAGGCCCCTCCCAGCCCGTTGTCTTCAAGGAAGTGTTGCGTAATCATCAGGCCACTTCAATCTTACCAAGGGGATGTTCCCCTGCATGTACCACCTCAATCTTACCACAGGGATGTTCACCTGGCACGTACCACCTTAATCTTACCACGGGGATGTTCATCTGCACCTACCACTTCAATCTTACCACGGGGATGTTCACCTGGCATGTACCACTTCAATGTTACCACGGGGATGTTCACCTGGCATGTACCACTTCAATCTTTCCACAGGGATGTTCACCTGCCATGTACTACTTCAATCTTACCACGGGGATGATGTTCACCTGGCATGTACCACTTCAATCTTACCGTGAGGATGTTCACCTGGCACGTACCACTTTGGCTTCAACGTTGAGCCGTTCCAACATGCTGTAAAATTAGGGCTCATGAAGAACAGTACCCAAGTCCTCGAGAAGGAAGCCAACGCCGAGGACAATTATAGGCATGTGTTTGGAACTGTCGTCTTGCAGCTGATGATGGGAGATAGGGTCTGGCTAAAATCAAAGCTAGAAGCAAAAGAGAATGAGAAAGGGTTGATTCAAAGTGTGTTCTGTGGTTATTTGTTCTATGCAATGATACTGGCTAAGAGTAACCACACACTTCAATTCCTCAAGTGGGTCTAAATTTCAGAGCGAAACTCCCCCTTCTCCAGTATATTTTTCCCTAAGATCATTACATGCATAACATTAAGAGTAACCCAATTTATCAATGTGAATGTAATTCCAAAAGCAGTAAAGATTAATAATCCATTAATTGGTCAACAACTTCTTATTGAAAGTCTATCACATTTCCAGTATTCTGCCATATCCTAGGAATTTCCAGGAGAGGATGTCAGAAAATCAGATCTAATTGGAAGCCTCTTGCCACTTGAAACTGAGGGGACCAGGAAAGTTCTCATTCCTTTTTGTGATTATGTCTGAACATTTTTCTCCATACTAAAAAAGTCTTAATTATAGCCCCTTCTATCACTTCAATTTTACAACTTACAGTACAGCTAGGAAAGCACATATCCCAGAGAGATGAAGAAAATTTGTTCAAAGTCACATGAAGTTGTGAATACATACTATTAAATGCATATTTTGCATTCGATGAACAGTGCATATTTTGGCCACTGTTAGAGCAAGGGGCAAGGGTATGGTTTGGAGGAGCAGTTTCTATGGCTTAATACCCATAAGACCCTATTAGTTGCCTACTAAGTATCCATTCACCCATTCTATGTTTCAATTTATTCCTAACAGGTAAGGTTCCTGTTGCATTTTACAGATTAATAATTCGAGATTCAAAGAAGTAATCCTACTTATTCCCAACCAGATTGCTAGTTAAAAGCCTGAGACAGGATTCTAATCCCAGGTTTCCCAAGAATCCGAGTTCTTAACCATAGTGTTTTTGATTAGTTAATTGTCATCTACTCATTTCTCCAAGCTCTGCCCTTGGCTTTTGCTTTTCATTTCCAGCTAAGCCTTGGAGTACAGCAACCTACAAGAAGCAACCTTACTCTGGCTGGCATTTACTCTGTTTGTTCATTCTCTCCCCTAGAGCAGTAGCCTCAGGAGATAATGTCAGAAAAAACAAATTGTTGGCACCAGGATCTGCATACCCCAATTAACAAAATGATGCTTTCCACCCACCCTCCTGCAAATATTTGAAGCAGGAAACTGCCCCTCTCACAACCTGGGTCAGCCTCCTACCAGCCATTCTTAAGACAAAAGTCTTTTTCCTTTTAGTGGGTGAACTTTCTCCAGGAGTTCTTTCTGGCACGCCTAGCTGTGGGGTCTAAGGCTTGGACCCGTCTCTGATCACCCTATCAAGGCCTTAAGTAAACAGTACAATATTGCCTCTTCAGATATTTACCCCTGGTACAACCAGCTGCCAGCAACAAGATTAATATTTAACCACAAGGTAGATTCACCCATTCTTACTGGCTCTGGATCTCAGCGTGGATAGGATTATAGACTATAATTCCTAGGCCATTTTTTAGATTTTCCTTCCAGCATGTCTGTTCTAGGAGTAGCTGTATATATAAGGCCAAAGTAAAGAGGCCATGCTACCTCCTACCCTGACTTCTATTTGAAGATGTATTCCTTGTGCTGAACCACAGGTTAGGAGTTATCACAAACCATTTTCAGTACCAGAAGTCAAATGCAGATCAAAAAGTCTAGAATTGGAGGCAATTTCCAATGAGAAAAATGTGCAGGAAGAAACTAAGATTAAGTGCTACATATTCAAAACGGTCTAATAAACATAAAGCATGAAATGCTAATTAATGTTAGTTACTGTTTAACATGCATGCCATCTCTTTTAATCCTCATAACAACCTTATAAGGAAAATATCTACTATATATTTCATACAAAGCAAACTATTTACATAACATTCCAAGTTTTTTCCCATTACCCTTATTTTGTTCTTTCTGCCTGGAATTCTTATGTTCCTGATCTTTGATGAACTCATCCATTTCCTAAGGTCTAGTTCAAATGTCTCCTTTAATATCTACATCAAATATACAAGTGTATAAGAAGAAGACTGTTTTACAAGAAGATATTAGAATTTAATTCTGAGTTGGAGTAGTGGAGCAGCATTGAACATAGTAAAGCAGAAGAACTATAATTCAACAGTAAATAATCCCTGGGTCTTTTCCTGTAAACCAGCACTTGGCCTACAGTGCAAGGCCAAATAGCACACTGATGATTGTCAAAGATAAGAATAAAATTGCTTGACCCACCACTGGACTATAAATGCCTAGGAAGCAACCCAGAGCATGTGAGCAATGACTCCATTTCCAGAATATTTTTGAAAGCAGGAGTGTCAAACAGTTATCATTTGCTTTTGTATAAGATATGATAAAGATTTTAAAAATCTGTCCTGTTACAAAGTCATATGTAATTGATGATATATATTGTCTTGGTAAAATAAGGATTGAATTAGGTCTTACGTATAATGAGGTAGTAAAACATTTCATCATCTTCCCATGTGGGCCCTAAAATTCTGCTTGGAGACAGTGCTTCTTGTTATGGGAAAGTCTTGCTAAGAATTTGTGCTTGATGTGGGTTGCAACTAGAGTCAAGTCCACAAAGAAGGGAGCCAAATTAACATGCATATACCAGACATGACTTTCAGGCTATAAATCATATATTTTCTTGTTTTAGTCAGCTAAGTTTTACCTTTAAGCTTCAAAACTTAATGAACAAAAGTGAATAATTGAACCTCAGTAATAGATAACCCAGAGTCATAAAAATGTCCTGAGGGGCTGGGCGCAGTGGCTCACAACTGTAATCCCAGCACTTTGGGAGGCTGAGGCGGGCGGATCATGAGGTCAGGAGATTGAGATCATACTGGCTAACATGGTGAAACCCCGCCTCTACGAAAAATACAAAAAATTAGCTGGGTGTGGTGGCACGTGCCTGTAGTCCCAGCTATTAGGGTGGCTGAGGCAGGAGAATTGCTTGAACCTGGGAGGCGGAGGTTGCAGTGAGCCAAGATCTTGCCAATGCACTCCAGCCTGGGTGATAGAGCAAGACTCTCTCTCAAAAAAGGAAAAAAAAAAGTCCTGAGGTTTTACATAGCACTGAGACACCAGGGAAATCCTTTTAACCTTTAGATACCTAGATATCTATCTATTCAAGTTACTGCTAAGGAACTTGCTATGGTCCAAATATTTGTGTCCCCCTTAAATGTATGTGTTGAAACCTAAGCTCCAACATGATGGTATTAGCAGGTGGAGTCTTCTGGGGTGATTAGATCATGAGGGCAGCCCTCATAAATGAGATTATTGCCCTGGGCTGGTGACACATGCCAGCACTTTGGGATGCCGAGGTGGGAGGATCACTTGAGGTCAGGAGTTCTAGACCAGCCTGGCCAACATGATGAATCCCCATCTCTACTCAAAATACAAAAATTAGTCAGGCATGGTGGTGCACATCTGTAATCCCAGCTACTCAGGAGGCTGAGGCAGGAGAATCGCTTGAACCCAGGAGATGGAGGTTATAGTGAGCCGAGATCATGCCACTGCACCCTGGCCTGGATGACAAAGCAAGACTCCATCTCAAAAATAAATAAATAAATATAAAAATAAATAAAGGAGACCTCATAGAGCTAGCTTGATATGGTTTGGCTTGTGTCCCTACCCAAATCTCATCTGGAATTGTAATCCCCATGTGTCGGAGGAGAGACTGGTGGGAGGTGATTGGATCATTGGAGTGGTTTCCCCGATGCTGTTCTCGTGACAATGAGGGAGATATCATAAGATCTGATGGTTTAAAAGTTGTAGTTTCCTCTGCACTCTTTCTCTCCTGCCCCCTTGGGAAGAAGGTACTTGCTTCCCCTTTGCCTTCTGCCATGAGTGTGAGTTTCCTGAGGCCTCCCCAATCATGCAGAACTGTGAGTCAATTAAATCTCTTTCCTTTAAAAATTACCCCATCTTGGTATCTTTATAACAGTGTGAGAATGGACTAATACAGAGAATTGGTACCATCAGTGGTACTGCTATAAAGTGGGTACTGCTATAAAGGTAACCTGAAAATGTGGAAGCAACTTTGGAACTGGGTAACAGACAGCGGTTGGAACAGTTAGGAGGGCTCAGAAGAAGACAGGAAGATGTGGGAAAGTTTGGAACTTCCTAGAGACTTGTTGGATGGTTTTGACCAAAATGCTGATAGTGATATGGACGATAAAGTCCAGGCTGAGGTGGTCTCAGATGGAGATAAGGAAGTTTTTGGGAACTGGAGCAAAGGTCACTCTTGCTATGCTTTAGTAAAGCAACTGGCAGGATTTTGCCCCTGCCGTAGAGATCTGTGGAACTTTAAACTTGAGTGAGATAATTTAGGGTGTCTGGTAGAAGAAATTTCTAAGCAGCAAAGCATTCAAGATGTGACCTGGCTTTTTCTGAAAGCATTCAGTCATATGGGTTCACGAAGAGATGGTTTGAAATTGGAACTTATGTTTAAAAGGGAAGTAGAGCATAAAGGTTTGGAAAATTTGCAGCCTGATCATGTGGTGGAAGACAAAAACCCATTTTCTGTGGAGAAATTCAAGCCTACTGCAGAAACTTGCATAAATAATGAGGAACTGAATGTTAATAGCCAAGACAATGAGGAAAATGTCTCCAGGGCATGTCAGAGACCTTCACAGCAGCCCCTCCCATCACAGGCCTAGATGCCTAGGAGGGAAAAGTGGTTTTGTGGGCTGCACCCAGGGCCCCACTGCTCTGTGTAGCTTCCAGACTTGGTGCCCTGCATCCCAGCCACTCCAGCTCCAGCTGTGGCTAAAAGGGCCAAAGTACAGCTCATGCCATTGATTCAGAGGATGCAAGCCCCAAGCCTTGGCAGCTTCCACGTGGTGATAGGCCTGAGAGTGCGCAGAAGATAAGAGCTGAGGTTTGGGAATGTCCACCTAGATTTCAGAGGATGTAAGGAAATGCCTGGATATCCAGGCAGAAGCTGGCTGCAAGGGTAGAGCCCTCATGGAGAACATTTGCTAGGCAGTGAGGAAGGGAAATGTGGGGTTGGAGTCCCCACACAGAGTCCCCACTGGGGCACTGCCTAGTGAGAAGAGGACCATTGTCCTCCAGACCCCAGAAAGGTAGATCCACTGACAGAGGCACCATACACCTGGAAACACCACAGGCACTCAATGCCAGCCTGTGAAAGCATCCACAGGGGCTGTACCCTGCAGAGCCACAGGGGCATAGGTGCCCAAGACCATGGAAACCCACCTCTTGCATCAGCCTGCCCTGGATGTGAGACATGGAATCAAAGGAGATTGTATTGAAGCTCTAAGATTTAAAGAATGCCCTGCTGGGTTTCAGACTTGCATGGGGCCTGTGGCCCCTTTGTTTTGGCCAATTTCTCCCATTTAGAATGGGAATATTTACCAATGCCTGTACCCCCATTGTATCTTGGAAGTAACTAACTTGCTTTTTATTTTACAGGCTCATAGGGACTTGCTTTGTCTCAGATGAGACTTTGGACTTGGACTTTTGAGTTAATGCTGGAATGAGTTAAGACTTTGAGGGACTGTTGGGAAGGCATGATTGGTTTTGAAATGGTGGTTTCTCCCATGCTGTTCTCGTGACAGTGAGGAAGATCTCATGAGATATTATGGTTAAAAAGTGAAAGTTTCCCCTGCTCACTCTCTCTCTCTCTCTCTCTACTGCTGCCTTGTGAAGAAGGTACTTGCTTCCCCTTCCCCTTCCTTCATGATTGTAAGCTTCCTGAGGCTTCCCCAAATTTCTCTGCAATAGAATTTTTTCTGGATATTGTCTATGATGTGAATTCTCCACCCCTATCCTAGGAACTCTAATTACTCTAGTATATTTCACCTCCTAAGAATAATGTGCTAAGTATCATGTGATAAGATTATAGTGCTCTATTCGAGAACTTCATGAAGCATACACAAGTATCAATAGTCAAATTGATCAAGTGGAAGAGAGGATATCAGAGATTGAAGATCAACATAATGAAATAAAGTGAGAAGACAAGATTAGAGAAAAAAGAGTAAAAAGAAATGAACAAAGCCTCCAAGAAATACGGGGCTATGTGAAAAGACCAAATCTACATTTGATTGGTGTGCCTGAAAGTGACAGGGAGAATGGAACCAAGTTGGAAAACACACATCAGGGTATTATCCAGGAGAATTTCCCCAACCTAGCAATACAGGCCAACATTCAAATTCAGGAAACACAGAAAACACCATAAAGATATTCCTCGAGAAGAGCAACCCCAAGACACATAATCATCAGATTCACCAAGGTTGGAATGAAGGAAAAAATGTTAAAGGCACCCAGAGAGAAAGGTCGGGTTGCCCACAAAGAGAAGCCCATTCGATTAACAGCAGATCTCTCTGCAGAAACCCTACAAGCCAGAAGAGAGTGAGGGCCAATATTCAACATTCTTAAAGGAAAGAATTTTCAACCCAGAATTTCATATAGAACGAAACTAAGCTTCATAAGCAAAGGAGAAATAAAATACAGACAAGCAAATGCTGAGAGATTGTCACCACCAAGCCTGCCTTACAAAAGCTCCTGAAGGAAGCATTAAACATGAAAAGCAATAAACGGTACCAGCCACTGCAAAAACAGACCAAATTGTAAAGATCATCGACACTATGAAGAAACTGCATCAACTAGCAGGCAAAATACCACAATGACAAGATCAAATTCACACATAGCAATATTAACCTTAAATGTAAATGGACTAAATGCCCCAATTAAAAGACACAGATGACCAAATTAGATAAAGAGTGAAGACTCATCATGCTGTATTCAGGAGACCCATCTCACATGCAAAGACACATATAAGCTCAAAATAAAGGGAAGGAGGAAGATTTACTGAGCAAATAGAAAGAAAAAAAAAAAGCAGGGGTTGCAATCCTAGTCTCTGATAAAACAGACTTTAAACCAACAAATATCAAAAGAGACACAGAAGGCCATTACATAATGGTAAAGGGATCAATGCAACAAGAAGAGCTAACTATCCTAAATATATATGCACCCAATACAAGAGCACCCAGATTCATAAAGCAAGTTCTTAGAGGCCTACAAAGAAACTTAGACTCCCACACAATAATAATGGGAGATTTTAACACCCCACTGTCAATATTAGACAGATCAATGAGACAGAAGATCAACATGAATATTCAGGACATGAACTCAGCTCTGGACCAACTGGACCTAATAGACATCTAGACAACTCTCCACCCCAAATCAACAGAATATAGATTCTTCTCAGCACCACAATGCACTTATTCTAAAATTGACCACATAATTGGTAGTAAAATACTCCTTAGCAAATGCAGAAGAACGGAAATCATAACAAACAGGCTCTCTGACCACAGTGCAATCAAATTAGAACTCAGGATTAAGAAACTCACCCAAAACCACACAACTACATGAAAACTGAACAACCTGCTCTTGAATAACTACTGGGTAAATAATGAAATAAAGGCAGAAATAAAGATGTTCTTTGAAACCAATGAGAACAAAGACACAACATACCAGAATCTCTGAGACATTTAAAGCAGTGTGTAGAGGTAAATTTATAGCACTAAATGCCCACATGAGAGAGCAGGAAAGATCTAAAATCGACATCCTAATATCACAGTTAAAAGAACTAGAGAAGCAAGAGCAAACAAATTCAAAAGCTAGCAGAAGACAAGAAATAATTAAGATCAGAGCAGAACCAAAGGAGATAGAGGCATGAAAAACCCTTCAAAAAATCAATGAATCCAGCAGCTGCTTTTTTGAAAAGATCAACAACAAAATAGATTGACCATTAGCCAGACTAATAAAGAAGGAAAGAGAGAAGAATCAAATAGACACAATAAAAATGAGAAAGGGAATATCACCACGGATCCCATAGAAATGCAAACTACCATCAGAGAATACTATAAACACCTCTACGCAAGTAAACTACAAAATCTAGGAGAAATGGATAAATTCCTGGACACATACACCCTCCCAAGACTAAACCAGGAAGAAGTTGAATCCCTGAATAGACTAATAGCAAGTTCTGAAATTGGGGCCGTAATGAATAGCCTACCAACCAAAAAATGTCCGGATTCACAGCTGAATTGTACCAGAGGTACAAAGAGGAGCTGGTACCATTCCTTCTAAAGCTATTCCAAACAATAGAAAAAGAGGGAATCCTCCCTAACTCATTTTATGAGGCCAACATCATCCTGATACCAAAACCTGGCAGAGACACAACAAAAAAAGAAAATTTCAGGCCAATATCCCTGAGGAACATCGATGTGAAAATCCTCAATAAAATACTGGCAAACCGAATCCAGCAGCACATCAAAAAGCTAATCCACCATGATCAAGTCGGCTTCACCCCTGGGATGCAAAGCTGGTTCAACATCCACAAATCAATGGGCAAAAACTGGAAGCATTCCCTTTGAAAACTGGCACAAGACAAGGATGCCCTCTCTCACCACTCCTATTCAATATAGTATTGGAAGTTCTGGCCAGGATGGAAGGGAAGGGAAGGGAAGGGAGAGAGAAAGAAATAAAGGGTATTCAAATAGGAAAAGAGGAACTCAAATTGTCTCTGTTTGCAGATGACATGATTATATACTTAGAAAACCCCATCATCTCAGCCCAAAATCTCCTTAAGCTGATAAGCAACTTCAGCAAAGTCTCAGGATACAAAATCAATGTGCAAAAATCACAAGCATTCCTATACACCAATAGCAGACAAGCAGAGAGCCAAATCATGAGTGAACTCCCATTCACAATTGCTACAAAGAGAATAAATTCCTAGGAATAGAACTTAAAAGGGATGTGAAGGACCTCTTCAAGGAGAACTACAAACCACTGCTCAATGAAATAAAAGAGAACACAAACAAACGGAAGAACATTCCATGCTCATGGATAGGAAGAATCAATATCGTGAAAATAGCCATACTGCCCAAAGTAATATATAGATTCAATGCTATCCCCATCAAGTTACCATTGACTTTTTTCACAGAATTGGAAAAAACTACTTTAAATTTCAAATAAACCAAAAAAGAGCCCGCATTACCAAGACAATCCTAAGCAAAAAGAACAAAGCTGGAGGCATCACACTACCTGACTTCAAACTATACTACAGGGCTACAGTAACCAAAACAGCATGGTACTGGTACCAAAACAGATACATAGACCAATGGAACAGAACAGAGGCTGCAGAAATAACACCACACATCTACAACCATCTGATCTTTGACCAACCTGACAAAAACAAGCAATGGGGAAAGGATTCCCTATTTAATAAATGATGCTGGGAAAACTGACTAGTCATATGCAGAAAACTGAAAATGGACCCCTTCCTTACACCTTATACAAAAACTAACTCAAGATGGATGAAAGACTTAAATGTAAGACCTAAAACCATAAAAACCCTAGATGAAAACCTAGGCAATATCATTCAGGACATAGGCATGGGCAAAGACTTCATGACCAAAAGACCAAAAGCAATGGCAACAAAAGTCAAAATTGACAAATGGGATCTAATGAAGCTAAAGAGCTTCTGCACAGCAAAAGAAACTATCACCAGAGTGAACAGGCAACCTACAGAATGGGAGAAAATTTTTGCACTCTATCCATATGACAAAGGGCTAATATCCAGAATCTGCAAAGAATTTAAACAAATTTACAAGAAAAAAAACCAAACAACCCCATCAAAAAGTGGGCAAAGGATATGAATAGAGACTTTTCAAAAGAAGGCATTTATGCAGCCAACAAACTTATGACAAAATGCTCATCATCACTGGTCATTAGAGAAATGCAAATCAAAATCATAATGAGATACCACCTCACTCCAGTTAGAATGGCAATCATTAAAAGGTCAGGAAACAACAGATGCTGGAGAGGAAGTGGAGAAATAGGAATACTTTTACACTGTTGATGGGAGCATAAATTAGTTCAACCATTGTGGAAGACAGTGTGGCGATTCCTCAAGGATCTAGAATTAGAAATAGCATTTGATCCAGCAATCTCATTACTGGATATATACCCAAAGGATTATAAATCATTCTACTATAAAGACACATGTACATGTATGTTTATTGTGGCACTGTTCACAATAGCAAAAACTTGGAACTAACCCTAACGTCCATTAGTGATAGACTGGATAAAGAAAATGTGGCACACATACACCATGGAATACTATGCAGCCATAAAAAAGGATGAGTTCATGTCCTTTGCAGGAACATGGATGAAGCTGGAAACTGTCATTCTCAGCAAACTAACACAAGGAAAGAAAACCAATCATCGCATGTTCTCACTTGTAAGTGGGAGTTGAACAATGAGAACACACGGACACAGGGAGAGGAACATCACACACTGGGCCTGTCGGGGCTGGGGGACTAGGGGAGGGATAGCATTAGGAGAAATACCTAATGTAGATGATGGGTTGATGGGTGCAGCAAACCCCCATGGCACGTGTATACGTATGTAACAAACCTGCACGTTCTGCACATGTACCCCAGAACTTAAAATATAATAATAAAAAATTATAATTTATGAAGAAAGATTATAGTGCCTTATTAAATAAAACAATAGATATGGATATTTAATATATTAGAGAGAACATTTATTCTTTTAATTATTCATTTAACAAACATGCATGGCATATCAGTTCAATGTCAAAATCTACCCTCTAAATCTAGATGCAGACTTTGTATCTCCTGCCTCAAGTAACATAAAAAGAGAGAAAATATAGAATTAATTCAAGGTTCAAAACTCCTATGACAAGGACTATGATCAGTGTTAGCACATAATGCTGTGATTCCCATATCTTAGAGGATAAAGAAAAAAAAATCTCAGTCTAAAGTAGATAAAGAAGAAATATTTGAGTTGAGTCTTAACAGATGACTAGAGGTTGCTTGGAATGGGTGGATGTGGGATGGTGTAGGAAACCACTTCGTGTGAAAAGGATCAACTCAGAATCACCCCGTCTCACTTGATATGGTTTGACTCTGCATCCCCACCCAAATCTCTTCTCAAATTGTAATTCCCATGTGTCGAGGGAGGGGCCTGATGGGAGGTGATTGGATCGTAGGGGCAGTATTCCTTCATGCTGTTCTCGTGGTAGTCAGTGAGTTCTCACAAGATCTGTGCTTGAAAAGTGTGTGGCTCTTCCAGCTTCACTCTCTCTGTCTCCTGCTGCTACCTTGTGAAGAAGGTACCTTGCTTCTCCTTCACTTTCCGCCATGATTGCGAGATTCCTGAAGCCTCCCAGCCATGTGGAACTGTGAGTCATTTAAACCTCTTTTGTTTGTAAATTACCCGGTCTTAGGTAGTATCTTTATAGCAATGTAAAAACAGACTAATACATCACTTTTATTTATTTTATGATTTAGGAAGGCCTGCATCACTAGGATCACCAGGGCCAAATGAGTTTCCAAAAGATATTGAGCAGTGTCCATACACACAAAAGTTTTCCTTTGTCATGAAGCTGAGTGATATCTTCCCAGGCCCCTTGCAGCCCCTTGCCTTAAAGGAAGCCCTGCACAACCATTAAGGCCACTTTGATCTGAACACTGGAGTCTTTATGCTGTTCCTGGAATCCACCAGTTTTGTTTTGATGTTGAAACACACAAGCATCCTGTGAAGGTGATACTCATGAAGAAAGGCACTCAAGTTATGCAGAAGGAGGCTGAGGCTTAGAATGGACATGAACAGGTTCAGGGACTGCTGTCTTAGAGCTGATGAGTGGGGACAGGGTTTGGATGGAGTCCAAAGTGAACCCACAACATGAAAAATGAATTCTTCAAACTATATTTTTTGGGGTTTTGCTTTATGAAAGTTAACTGGGGGAGAAGCAGTAATTTTTTCCTTTCTTCAAAAAGTCTGACTTGAAGAACAGAATATTCTCTTCCTCCTCAATATACCTAAGAGGATAATAGAGTTGAATAATTTCTAGTATACCAATGTGAATTTAGTACTAATGCTGAAACCATAAATATTATACCAGTTTATATTTGAACACTCAACTATAAACTGTTGGCATCCTCCCATGTTTCCAGAATTATGATAAAATGTATATGTATCCATGTCTTACTCCATTTTCTATTGCTATACCTGAGACTGGGTAATTTATAAAGAAAAGAAATTTATTTCTTACAGTTTTGAAAGCTGAGAATTCCAAGAGCATGATACCAGCATCTGGTGAGGACCTTCTTGCTGCATCATAACAGGGTGGAGGGCATCACACGGCAAGAGGGCAAGAGCATGTGTGTCAGCCCAGGCCTTGATGTTTCTTCTTATAAAGCCAACAGTCCCATCATGGGGGCCCCACCCTGAAGAATCTTATCTAATCCTAATTACTTCTCCATTATCCCACCTCCAATCAACATATAAATTTTGAATAAAGTTTCCAACACATGAAATTTGGAAGGCATATTCAAACCATAGCAATCCACACATGCAGCTATGGGGGCAAAAGCTGTGAAGGAGCTATTCTAAATCAGAACCACCCACATGTACAGAGGAAGACAGCTGTCATTTAGAATGAGATTGGAGCACTAGAAAAGCCCTTTGCCCCCTACACACTTATACCTGGATCTTTCTTCTCTTGAGCAAAATCTTTCCCAAATTAATTAAGGACAAGGTTAATGACACAAATAGCCCTGGGAAATATAAAGTTTTTGCTTTTATTACATGAAAATTTACATGGCTTCATGATGCTTTCTGTGAGGCCAATTTCATGACAGAAGGGCAGAGCAGTACAAGACGCATAGGTACTGTTTGGGGAAATATTTCTGTTGTTCTGCCTTTATGAAGTTACATTGTGGCATCCTGGTAGCTCCTTAAATCAATGTAGTGTTTTACTCTTCTGTATATCCCAACAATTTGTTCTTCCTATTATTTAAGTACTTTGGGAGTTGTCCATTTATTTGCTGGGTTTCTATTTGGATTCAGTTAGACTAGCAACTGCCAGCAGACTCCTTATTATGGAAAGGGTGGGCAGGTTCAAAGGGTTTTTCAAATACAATTTCCTCCTTACTGATTTACCACTTTAATCCCCTGCTACGGTTTGAATGATGGTGTCTGTTCCAAAATTTGTGTTGAAACGTAATGGCTACTGTGACAGTATTAAGAGGTGGGGCCTTTAAGAAGTGATTAGGTCATGAGGACTCTTCCTTTGTGAATGGGAGTAAGGCCCTCGTAAAAGAGAAGTCATGCAATATTTTGCCTTTCTTGCCCTTCTGCCTTCTGCCATGTGAGGACACAGCAGTCCTCCTCTCTGGAAGATGCAGCAACAAGGTACCATCTTGGTAGTGGAGAGACTGGGCCCTCACCAGCCAGCACCTTGATCTTGGACTCCCAACCTACAGACCTGTGAGAAATACATTTCTGGTCTTTACAAATTACCCAGTATCAGTTATTTTGTAATAGCAGCAGAAATGGACTAAGACACTCCCCTTCACACTTGAGTGATGTAAATTTGAATGGTATAAATTTGATAAAGTTGATAAAATAAACAAATGTAAATGATATACAAAGAGCACATGAAAAGATGCTCAACATCATTAGCTATAGGAAAATGCAAATCAAAACCACGATTAGATACCACTTAGGCCCACAAGAATGGTTATGATTTTAAAACGATAACAGGTGCTGATTAGATCATAGAGAAATTAATACCCTCAAACCTGCTAGTGGGAATGTAAAACCTGCTAGTGCCTGCTAGGCACTGTGAAAAACTGGCAGTTCCTCAGAAAGTTAACCATAGTGTAATCATATAACCCAGCCATTCCACTCCTAGGCATAGAGCCAAGAGAATTGGAAACATATGTTCACACAAAAATGTGTCACAATTATTCATAGCAGCATTATTCGTAACAGCCAAAAGGTGGAAACAACCTAAATATCCGTTAACTGATGAGTGAATAAATAAAATGTGATAAATCCTCACAACAGAATGTTATTTGGCAATTAAAAGGAATGTAGTATGAATACATGCTGCAACCTGGATAACTCTTGAAAACATTGTTCTAAATGAAAGAAGCCTATTACAAAAGGGCACATATTGTATGATTTCATTCATATGAAATACCAAGAATAGGCAAATCGAGAGACAAAAAGTAGATTAGTGATTTCTGGGGGATAGGATTGGGAGTAGGCATGAGGAGTGACAGCCAGTGGGTACGGAATCCTTTTGTGGATGTGGTTCTAAAATTAGACTGTGGTGACATTTGCACTACTCTATAAATGTAAAAACCATTGAGCTGCACACTTGAAAGTGGGTAAATTATAAGGTTTATTAATTATATCTCAGTAAAGCTGCTTAAAGACCCATGAGTCTATTCTGATGTAAATACATAAACAGGAAAGAAGGGGAAGTTTTTCTTTACAGTAGAATGTAAAACTATATAAAGAATAATGGAGTTATAAATTTAAAATAGAATCTAAAATCAGCGGATAAAATTTTTATGAAGAAGAGGTCCAATCCAGCAGTTTAATTAACCTACTCTTTAAAGATACATGATTTTATGGAGTATCTACTGTATACATGATAATATTCTATTTTTATGTATTTTCATTTTTATACCATATCTCAGATCAATTGATGAGCATAATATCTCCATTTTAAAGATCTTTTATTGAGGCTAACTAAACTTACCTAACTAGTCAGAAGTTACACTGCTAGGAAGTGGCAAAGAGAGTATTTTTTGAACTCAGACATTCTTCACGTGAGCACATTGTTAGGCTATTAGGCTACATTACTCTTTTTTTTTTTTTGAAATGTAGTCTCGCTCTGTCACCAGGCTGGAGTGCAGTGGTGCTATTTTGGCTCACTGCAACCTCCGACTCCTGGGTTCATGCCATTCTCCTGCCTCAGCCTCCTGAGTAGCTGGGATTACAAGCGCCCGCCACCACACCCGGGTAATTTTTTGTATTTTTAGTAGAGATGGAGTTTCACCGTGTTGGCCAGGATGGTCTGGATCTCCTGACCTCGTAATCCGCCCACATCGGCCTCTCAAAGTGCTGGGATTACAGGCGTGAGCCAGTATGCCTGGCCTTTTTTTTTTTTTTTTTTTTTTACATGGAGTCTTGCTCTTTTACCCAGGCTGTAATGCAGTGGCACGATCTCGGCCGCCTCAGCCTCCCGGTTCAAGAGATTCTCCTGCCTCAGCCTTCTGAGCAGCTGGGATTACAGTTGGATGCAACCACACCCGGCTAATTTTTGTATTTTTAGTAGGGATGGGGTTTCACAATCTGGCCAGGCTGGTCTCGAACTCCTGACCTCAAGTAATCTCCCCGCCTTGGCCTCCTAAAGCACTGGGATTATAGGCGTGAGCCACCGCACCCAACAGGGTATATTACTTTTGACTAATTTGCAGTCAGTAACCAAATATTGAAACTAACAAATGATTAAGGTAAAATATAAGTAGTCCAATAGACTTGAAATGTTTAATATTTGAGTTTAGAATTTTTTATTATATATTAGGGTTCTACAGTCCCACAGCATAAGTGACCAGCTGCAAAATTTAGTACATAAATTTTGAACTAAAAACTTTTTGTACTCAAAACTTTTTGCTCTTTTACTCTTTCCTGTTTCTGTTTGTTTTCTCCCTTTCATATTGTGTGTGTGTCTGTGTGTCTGTATCTCTTTCAGTTATGTGTTCATGATTGATTTTCAACAAGGATGCCAAGACAATTCAATAGGGAAAGAATAGTCTTTTAAAAAATAGTGTCAGACCCTGAATAGCCAAAGCAATCTGGAGAAAGAAGAACAAAGCTGGAGGCATCACACTCTGTGATTTTATTATATTACAAAGCTATAGTAATCAAAACAGTGTGGTACTGACTTAATGACTAATTGATCAATAAAACAGAAGATAGTCCAGAAATAAACCCATGCCTATGTTGTCTACTAATCTTTGATTACAGAATACACAGTGAGGGAACAACAGTTTCTTCAATAAACTGTGTTGTAAAAATTGGATATCCACATGCAGAAGAATGAAATTAGACTCTTATCTGACACCATATACAAAAGTCAACTCAATGGATTAAAGAGTTAAGTGTAACACCTGAAACCATAAAATGCCTAGAAGAAAACATAGGAGAAAAGCTCCATGACATTGGTCTTAGCAATGATTTTTTGGATCTGATACCAAGGGCACAGGCAACAAAAGCAAAATTAAGCAGGTGGGATTATATCAAACTAAGAATCTTCTGCACAGTGTAGGAAACAGTCGACAAAATGAAAAGGCAATCTACAAAATGGGAGAAAATACTTGCAAATCATATATCTGATAAGCAGTATCATGTATACATATATAAATATATGATATATAAGATATATAAGGAGCTCATCTCAATAGCAGAAAAGTTAACCCAGTGAAAAACTGGGCAAAGGAACTGAACAGACATTTTTTCAAAGACATACTAATGACCAATGGATAGATGAAAAAATGATCAACATCACTGATAATCAGAGAAATGTAAATCAAAACCATAATGAGATAGGACTCACACTTCTTAAGATGGCTATTATCAACAAGACAAGAGATAACAAGTGGTAGCAGCGGTGTGAAGAAAAGGAAACCCTATACACTGTTGCTGGGAATGTGTATTGTTACAACCTTTATGGAAAGCAACATGGAAATTCTTCAAAAAAATTAAAAATAGCAATACCACATGATCTGGCAATCCCACTTCTGGGTACATATTCCAAAGTAATGAAATCAGCAGTGTCTCAAAGAGATAGTTGTACCCCTATATTCATCACAGCATTATTCACAATAGCCAAGATTTGAAAACAACCTAAGTCTCTATTGATGGATAAAACACACACACACACACACGCACACACACACACACACACACACACACACACACAGTATTTAGCCATAAAAAAGAAGGAAATTTGTGATGGCATCGATTGCTCTGGAGCCCATTATGCTAAGTGAAATAAACCAGACACAGAAAGGTGAGTACTGGATGATATTTACTGTATGAAAGACGGGTTCTATTTGGACGCTAAAAAGTCAAACTGACAGAAGCAGAGAGTAGAACGGTGGTTGTCAGAGGCTGGGGGGTAGAAGAAATGGAGAGATGTTGGTCAAAGGGTACAAACTTCCAGTTATAAAATGAATTAAGTTCTGGGGATTGAATGCACAGAATGGTGACTATAGTTAATGATGCTGTATTGTTTACTCAAAATTTGATAAGAGAGCAGATTTTAAGTGTCCTCACCAACCCTAACCCCCACACAGTGGTAACTATGGGTAGTGATGGGTGTGTTAATTAATTTGACTGTGGTAATCAGTACACTATATATATATATATCATATCTTTATGCTATATACCTTGAAAATGTACAATTTTCATTGGTCAATTAAATATTTTAAAATAAAAAAATTGAAACTGTGTTGAGAGACACATGTTGAGCAGGGACACAAGGCCAAAGATTTTCAAATGCTTGATATCTTGTAGAGTAAATAACCGGATTACAATGAAACAAAGTATAATGAAATACCTAGATAAGCTGAAAATATTTGGAAGCTAAATACTACACTTCCAAACAAACAACAGTCAAAGAAGAAATCACAAGAGAATAAAAAATATTATAAATTTAATTATAATGTAATTATGTCATATCACTACTATTGAGAAGCATCTAAAGTAGTTCTTTACAAAGTTTTATATCTATAAATTTTTGTATTAATAAGAAAAATGGCTTAAAATAAGTTATCAAAATCTTCACCATAGGAGTTAGAAAAAGATAAGAAAATTAAAATTATAATTAATAAAACAGAAGCAAATTAGGAAGTCTACCAGAAATCAATGAAAGAAAAAAACAAAAAATTAATCATGGGAATGAAAAGATAAGCTACAGACTAGGAGACAATATTTGCAAAAACATATCTATACAAAAACCTCTTAAAACTCAACAATAAGAAAATGAACAACCTAATTCTAAAAATGGACAAAAGACCTGAACAGACATCTCACCAAAGAAGATATACAGATGGCAAATTAGCATGTTTAAAAATGCTTAATACTATTTGTTAAGGAAGTGTAAGTTAAAACAACGCCATGATATCACTATACACCTATTATTAAGGCCAAAATCGAAAACATTAACCATATCGAATGCAGACAAGGATGTGAAGCAACGGGAACTATTACTCATTGCTTCTGGGAATTCAAAATGGTACAGCCACTTTGACAGTTTGATAGTTTCTTATAAAATTAAACATAATTTAGTGTATGATCCAGCAATCACTCTCTCTGGTATTTATCTAAGTGAATTAAAAACTTATGGTCACACAAAAACCTTTATTTGAACATTGATAGTAGCTGTATTCACAATTGTCCAAACTTGAAAGCAACCAAGATATTTTTCAGTAGGTGACTGGGTAAATAAAGTGTAATACATCCAGACAATGGAATATTATTCAGTGACAAAGATATAAGCTATCAAGCCATAAAAAGACACGGAGAAAATTTAAGTGCATATTGCTAAGTGAAAGAAGCCAATCTGAAAAAGCTACATACTGAATGATTCCAACGATATGGCATTCTGGAAAAGGTAAAATTGTGGAGACAGTAAAAAAGAACAGTGTTTGCCAAGGATTAAGGTGATAAGAGGGATGAATTGGTGAAACATGAAGGATTTTTAGGGCAGTTAAACTATGTTGTATGAAACTATAACAGTGAATCCAACTCATTATAAAGTCATAGAAACCCGTAGAATATTTAACACCAAGAGTGATCCCTAATGTAAACTATGGGCTTTGGGTGATAATGATATGTCAATGTAGGTTTACTGATTGTAGCAAATGTACCACCGTGGCATGAGATCTTGAGAGGGAAGAGTCTGTGCGTGTGTGAGGAAGGGGTGTATGAGAACTCTCTGTAATTCCACTCAATGTTGCTGTGAATCTATAACTGTTCTAAATATAGTTTACTTACAAAAATTAATAAAACCGAAAGTCTGTTCTTTGAAGAAATTCATAAAATTGTTAAGTCCCTTTGAAGACTAATAAGAAAATAAGACAGAAAACACAATTAACAATGTTAAGAACAAAAGAAGCTCTATTACTAGTGATCCTACTGACATGAAAGAATATTAAGGGAATATTATAAAGAATTTATAAGTTTGACAAATTTGATCAAAGAAAAATTACTAGAATTTCTACCTTATCAAACCAGCACAAGATAAAATAGAAAATCTGAATTACTCTGTAGCTATTCAAGAACTCAACTTTAAAAAGTTCTTTATAATAAAAACCTACAAAAAAATTCTAGGCATAGTTTCACTGTTGAAGTCTATCAACCAATTATGGGAAAAAAATCAATCGCACACAAATCCAGAAAATAAGGAAGAAACAACATTTTCCAATTCATTTTATAATGCCAGAATAATACTGATACCAAAACTTGACCAAAACATAACAAGAAAATAATATATCAACAAATACTTTTCAGGAATATAGATGCAAAAAATCACCAAATGTTAGCAAATCAAATCCAGTGATACGTAAAAAAGGTGATAAATCATAACAAGGTTTATCTCATGAATGCAGGTTTGTCTTAACATTTGAGAAGTAGCTACTGCATTAACAGAATAAGGACAATCAATTATGTTGATTAATGTAGCAAAAGTATATGACACAATTCAGTACCCATTCATAATGTACCTCCCAGCGAAATAGGACTAGAAAGCTTCCACTACAATCTGAAAAAAAAGTCACATGCAAAAATCTTTGAGCTAACATAATTCTTAATGTTGAAACACTAAACACTTTCTCCTAAAGATTTGAAATTAATTAAGTATGACCACTCTTATTACTTCTACTCAGCATTCTACTGGGAGTCCTAGCCAGTGGAATAAAGTAAAAAATAAATAAATTAAAGCATAAGTATCAAAGAGAATGTGATTGTTTACATTGAAAATTCTAAGAAATCAAAAACAAAGTAAAGTAAAAATCTATTAGACTTAATATGTGAGTTTAGCAAGGTCACATGATATAACATCAAAATACATAAGTCAATTGTGTCTCTACATGTTAGCAGCATTGAGAAATAAAATTTTGAAAATTAATTCATAATATAGAGATGAAATATTTAGATATATAAATTTATGTATCTATATATTTTCTAAATGTTCAAAGCCATCAGTTCAGCAACATGGTGGGTTCATGAATTATGTATCCTGTCTCCATTAGTGTCAGAAATAGATGCATGCTTCTATGCTCAATTGATTTTTGAAAGGCACCAATGTGATTCAAAGTACAGCCACTATGAGAAATAGTATGGAGGTGCCTCAAAAACACTAAAATTAGAACTACCATATGATCCAGCAGTCCCACGACTGGGTATAAATTCAAAGGAAATGAAACCGATTTGTTGAGGAAGTATTTGGTCCTCCATGTTCATTGCAGCATCACTCACAGTAGTCAAGATATGGAATCAAACTACGTGCACATCAATGAATAAGCTCAATAAAGAAAATGTGGTATATGTACATAATGAATACTATCCAGCTTTTAAAAAGAAGGAAATCCTGTCATTTGTGACATGTACAAACTTGGAGAACATTATGTGAAGTGAAATAAGCCAGAAATAGAAAGACAAATACTGCATGATCTCACTTATATGTGGAATCTAAATAAGTTGAACTCATAGAAGCAGAGAGTAGAATTGTAGTTACCAGTGCTCAGGGATGGGAGTGAGGTGGGATGGGGTGGGGAAATGTTAGTAGAAGAATAGCAAATTTTAGTTACATAAGGGAAATAAGTTCAAGAGATCCATTGTACAACATGGTGACTATAATTAATAATGATGCACTGTAGTCTTAAGAATCACTAAGAGGAGGCCGGGCGCGATGGCTCACGCCTATAATCCCAGCACTTTGGGAGGCCGAGGCAGGCAGATCACGGGGTCAGGAGATTGAGACCATCCTGGCTAACACAGTGAAATCCTGTCTCTACGAAACAAAATACAAAAAAAAATTAGCCGGGCATGGTGGCGGGTGCCTGTAGTCCCAGCCACTCGGGAGGCTGAGGCAGAAGAATGGCGTAAACCCAGGAGGTGGAGTTTGCAGTGAGCTGAGATCGCACCACTGCACTCTCCTGGGCAACAGAGTGAGACTCCGTCTCAAAAAAAAAAAAAAAAAAAAAAAAAAAAAAAAAAAAAAATCACTAAGAGGATAGATTTCAAGTGTTCTCCCACAAAAAAATAGTGTGTGCGGTAATGTCTATATTAATTAGCTTGATTTAGCCATTCCACAACGTATGCATATTTCAAAACATCATATTGTATATAATAAACATACTCAACTTATATGCATCAATTAAAAATTTTTTCCAAAAAAGAAAATGTTTTTGCTGATAATAATTAAATAATAAATAAATAAATAAATACTCTTGTTCATAAGTCACCCATCCTATGGTATTTTGTTATAGCAATCCAGACAGACTAAGACACGAAATTAACGAGAAACTCTTACTGGACACTAATGGAGACAGGATGCATAATTCACGAACCCACCATGTTGCTGAGGCCCAATCTGCTCATTTTGAACCGGGTCAATTCTATCCCAACAAATAAGGAGGGGCAGGTACAACACAGGTCCATCATTAAGGGGAAATGGGATACAGAAGACTGAGCTCACACCGGGCCTGCTGCAAATGCTACTCAACAATAGGCAGCCTCTTGTGGCATCCAATAGAGGATGCATGACTCATATCATCCTCAAGCTGCTGGGCTGAGAGAACATTACAAAGAGTAGCTAAAGCAACAACTAAGGTGGGGGTCACTGCAGGGCACCTTCAATGGCTGAACAATGAGGTTGACTAAAGCCATCTGGACTCTAAATACAAGCACACAGCAGAAGGGAACCAGGCACTGAATCACTTGCTTAGATATAATGACAATTGGAGCTGGAGGAGTTGCCAGTCTCATTCTCATGGGAGTCCTATTGCCCACACTCATACTCTGAACTACCCTATATGATAGCTGGACCACTGCCAATTTGGATCTCATGTGAGGGGATCTGCCTGCTTTGAGTTTCTTGACTTCCAGGAAGGCACTTGCAGGAGGTTGTGGGACAAGGGCATCTCTCTATTGCCTGTCAGCAGTAACCTATAAAATAGGCGCAGTCATGGGCTATGTCAAGGTGGTCGCCAACATTGTCCACCCAATGGGCTTCAGTGATCGTGGACACAAGGTGTGGGCACTCTCAGCCAGGGTTGGGTGCCCAGTAAAGTTATGATCCCTGGGCAGAGCCAGAAAGACTAGGCAATACAGGCCAGTCAGGCAACCCCCATATTGATGGTTTAAGAGCATCTGAGATCCCAAGAGGTCCACAAAGCTGGAAAGAGTGGGAATATTAACCTTTCTTCTCATTTCTACAGTAGCCGTTGGTGTGCCTCACAGGACAACATCCTGATAAGAATTAGCACAGCCATGCCAAGAGGAGGCAAATGCATACAATGCTGGCTTTGTCGTCCCAGAATGAAGTCCCCCATGCTCCCATTGTAATGGCTTGGCCAGTACACAGTGACTTGGATTTTCCTCAAGACAAACAAACTCACTAAATTCCCTAGTCAAGGTGGTGATGGATGACTAAATCATCCTCAGTTATCTGATGGTGGAAAAATCTTGGACATTCTGCCTTTTTCTTTCTGAGTTTCTTGATTCACACACACACACACGCACATACACACACTCACGATACTCACTCTTTTTATTGCGCTGCTTTCTAGTTGAAAGAAGGGATAACCACATGACCTCTACTTCCCTAACTAGAGAAAGGATCTCCAAGATTAACAGATCTTTGTAAAATTTGTGAGTGGTTCCAATAATGAAGACTGCCACATGATTCCCCATATGGAGGTTGTAAGGATGGAGGACAAGCCCCATTGCTGCTGGCATGTGGGAAAGAGCATTGTGGAAATGGAGTGGTGAGATGGTCAGCTGGGAAGAGAGGGCACAGACTGTTCCATCAGTTTTCCACACATTCACAGAAGCAAGGAATATTCATCGCAATATGCCCCAGATCCAGAGTTAGGAGTCGAAGGTAAACAAGTATGAGGAGGTAACAGTATCGCAGGGAGAGGGCACAGCAAGGACAGCCAGGCTTGCTGCATCTAAGCTTTTGATACCAGAATTCACAAGAAGTTGTCCAAAGGGACAAAGGGCAACCCCAGGGAATAGCCAGGCTAGTTCATCTGTCTACACTACTGGGATTATCCATGCTCATACTTTTATGAGATAATTAATATTTAAAACTGACTTGAATTAGCAGTAAGCAATGAGAATAGATGTGTAGCTTGGTTAGTATTTTTCAGCTCTGCAGTGATAGCACTGTATAAACAAAACATTTTTTTTTTTAGCAGCAGCTCAATAGTGCTGGGGGGATTATGTAGAGAATTGGGAAAGTAAGATTTGCTCTTAATACCAGGTCTTCTTGGAGACTGGGAAGAGTACTGTTACTCCCCAGCCTTCTTAATTTCCATAGAGTACATAAAAAGAACAGAGTTTGAATATTTCCTTCTTCAGACTTTAATTCCTATGGCTTAGACTACAGCCAGACCACGTCCTCCTTCTCCAGCTGCAATACAGCTCCTTCTGCAGCTGCAATACCACTCCAGCTGCAATATGGCGGTTCCTGCTCATAGCCATCCTTGGCCACAGCATGTTTATTTCTCATATGGATGCCATTCCTCATAATACCCACATTTGCACAGCTCTGAAACAGCTCAAATTCAAAACCAAAGTGGTACACACTAGGGATGGTACAGGTGAATCCTTCACCAGAGAAATGGAAATGGAACTGAGTATTATAAAGGGCTTCCTTGAAGACAATGGGCTAGAAGGGCACTGGGAGGGGTCCGATCAGTTTCACCACAAATGCAGATCTTGGTGGGGATGAACGTTTTTCAATATCTCCTTCTACTGCTCTTGGTCTTTGTTCTCCATAGAAACCAGGGATTCCTAGACTCCAAAATAAGCAGAAGGTAGAAATAGTTGACTTTGAAATCATGCATTTTATACTCAATGCATTTCTCCCTTCACTGCTACTTTCTCTTTTCTAGTCAAGGCTCAACTTAAGCATCTTGTATCCTGGGAAATCTTTTTTTGCCTTTCCCATATTCGGTAAAACTCTCTCCTCTGCACCCTGGTAATAGCAGCACCTTGTGCTAAGTTTTATCACAGCCCTTAGCATTATGAATTGTAATTTTTCTTTTTAAACACCTGTTTCCTTGACTAGGCTGTGAGTCTGTGTTTTCTTCAATGTGGTATCTTAAGCACTCTCACAGTGTGTAGCATAGTTGACAGTTTATGTATGTTTGCTGAATGAATTATTGAATACATTCATAAGATGTTTTTTCAATATTATTTTACACAACTGCCCATAGGGTTTCATTACATAAAATAGAGAGTTAAAGATGAATATTGGGATATGATGATGGAAACAGATACAGTTATGTAAAAAGTACATTCTGCTACAACTAAAAAAGAATTTAAACAGCAGTTCCTAAATTTACTTATTATTAGAACCATTGACAGAGACAGTAAAAATAAAATCGCATCTTGGCTATTCTCTGGCTTTTCTGAATCAGAATCTCTGGAGCGGTGCGCCCAGGAACTAACATGTTTAATGAGGTCCCTGTTTAGCAAAGCCCATAGGTCAGTCTGATGCACAACCAGGTTCAAGAATCCCTGTGTTTGAAATAATGTCATTGGTTTTCAAAGGGGCTTCGTGGTGAGATCAGATAAATTTAGAACTAAAAGGAGACCTCAGATTCCTAGTCCGTGGTTTCACCCATAATACCACTCTGCCCCCAGAGTTACAGGTGCTGTTGAAATGTTGGCCAGTGGTGCTGGCAAGGTGAGCACAGACATGAGTGTAACTCTGTGAGTGCCACAACATAATCTACAGGGTTTCTAGAAGGGTCATGTAGGCATTGGTGAGTGGCCCTTTCAGCGTCCATGTTTCTTTGTCCAAAATACATTACAGGAACTAAAATATTTAAAATCATAAAAATTTAAAATTGAACAGAACCAACCATGGAAACATATTTCTTATGATGTGTTCACTAAGCACATTAATCATAGATTTTCCCCACTAGTGTATCAACACAGACTGAATCCTTAAACCTTTTAGAACTGGGCTCTTATATGACTTCAAGCATAATCAGAAATATTTTTCTGAAGATTCTTATATGAAAACTGAACATTAAGCATATCTAAATATACTTCTTATTTTCCAACCCTGGATTAAGGGTCAAACTAGAAATCTTTTCATTTTCTCTTCTGATTTTAAGAAAACTACCTTAAAAACTAATCTTAGTATCTATTGTTTATGAAAGGCAAGTGCAGTGACTACATAAAATTTTGTGGAAGAGTTTTACATATCATTAAGAGTATCATCAGTAAAAGGAATTATTATTTGCCCTTTTAGAGGTGAAGGAACTGAGACATCCGAAAGGTGTTTTGATGAATATCTCACTTGTGTGTTAACTCAACCCTCAAATCTCCTTGATGCTTTATTGGAACCACTGCCTATTAAAAGAACTTTCTTCATAATCACCATCCCAGGTGTGAGGTGGCATCTCACTGTGGCTTTGATTTGCATTTCCCAGATGATTAGTGATGCTGAGCATTTTTTTCACAAACCTGTTGGCCATTTGTGTGTCTTCGTTTGAGAAATGTCTTTTCAGTTCTTCTCCCCTTAAAAAAAAATCTGGTTGTTTACTTGCTATTGAATTGTATGAATTTCTTACATAGTTTGGATATAAACCTCTCATCAGATGTACAGTTAACAAATATTTTCTTCCATTCCATGGGTTGTCTCTTTGCCCTGTTAATTATTTCCTTTACTATGCATAAGCTTTTTAGTTTGATGAAACCCTATTTGTCTATTTTTGCTTTTGTGGCCTGTGCTTTTGGGGTCATATTCAAAAAATCTTTCCCCAGATTAATGTCAAGAGGCTTTTTCTCTGTTTTCTTCTAGTGGTTTTACGGTTTCAGGTCTTACATTTAAGACCTTAATTCATTCTGAGCTGATTTTTGTGTATGGGGTGAGATAAGAGTCCAATTACATTCTTCATGTGTGGATAATCAGTTTTCCCAACACCATTTATTGAAGAAATTGTACTTTCCTCAATGTGTGTTCTTGGTATCTTTGTCGAAGATCAATTAACTAATAAATTAACATTTTGAAGTTGCATTTTAATTTTTCCATTGTCCTACTTTTCATTTTATTTGTTTTTATTTTTCACATATAACTTTATTCTGATTCTGTTTATGATGTGTGTGTGTGTATGTGTATGTGTGTGTGTAATACTCTGGATGCAATGAGGAAAAAAGAATAAAGAGGGAGAGACTGAGAGAGAAGAGTGTGGGTAGACAAAGGAATGAAAAAAGTATAGTTTAGTTAATTTCTGGATATTTTAACCTAAATCACTAAGTACAACCCATTTTATTACTTTTTAAAAATATTATAATCAGTGAAAAAGCAAGAGAGTTTAAGGAACGAATGGGCAGGAAACCATTCAAAGAATATTGAGAAAAGCAAAAAGAGAGACAGTAAAGAAATCAAAGGAAGAAATGATAAAATAGGAACATCACAGCAAATCACATATGAGTAGAGTGATAAAGAAAGAAGCAGAGATAGATATAAGAAATCAGGAAGATAATCAGAATGCATTAATGTGCTATACAGTGCATTACACATCTGGTTAACATAATATGGATGTCGGCCGGGCACGGTGGCTCATGCCTGTAATCCCAGCACTTTGGGAGGTCAGGCATGAGGTGGGCAGATCACTTGAGGCCAGAAGTTCAAGACCAGCCTGGGCAACATAGTGAAACCCCATCTCTACTAAAAATATAAAAATCAGCTAGGTGTGGTGGTGCATGCCTGTAATCCCAGCTACTCAGGAGGCTGAAGCATGAGAATTGCTTGAACCCGGAAGGCAGAGGTTACAGTGAGCTGAGATCTTGCCATTGCACTCCAGCCTGGGTGACAGAGTGAGACTATAAAAAGTAATTTATATATATATGTGTTCATATGTTTTATATATATTGTTTTTATATATTATATATAATGTTTTATATATTATATATGTTTTATATATTATATATGTTATATATATTAAATATGTTATAGATTATGTTTTATATGTTATATATGTTTATATTTTATATATAATTTTACATATATATAAAAACATAGATGTCACATTATTAAAACAATATATTATTTAACAAAATATGATAAATTTTATACTGTCTGCATTATTCATGTCATAAATTTTTATACTTACTTTTTATAATTCACAGTTATTTACATAAAGACTAAAAGAGAATTGGCCCCAATTTGACTTCTTCTGTTTCAAAATCTATGGTATAGCTAAATGAAATATGTTTCTTTGTCCAAAGTTATGGTGAAATTGTTTCCTGGGGTTGTTATGGGCATAAATTAATTGCAGAAGAAAGTGCTTTGAAAAGAGTTCTAAACAAAGATAAATGGCTTATTTTATTGCAATCGTCCTTAACATATAAACTTACCTGAGACTTGCACGGCATGAACTCTTAGTCATTCCTCAGATATCCAGACTTAAGGACAGAAGGTCATTTGCCAAGTTTTTTTTAGCTGTCATTTTCCTATCCCATCAATTTGATTTTCAAGGTTTAGAGATGGAGAGTTTATTCAATTGATTAAATTTTGGATTTTAGTCTCTTCTGAGCCTAATGTCTGGGTTATATGAAATATTTTTAGTATAGATATTAAGAGAAGTTGACATTGAATGTTAAGAACTTCTGTCCATCCACTTCTTGCAGTCTCTACTAAGATTAAGGGTCAAAACTGGGCCTTGGAAGTAGACAAAGTTTGGTTTGTTGCTTCTTCTCTGGCCTCTTCTCAAGCCCCACCCTGCAGGCCACATTCTTGAGATGCCAGGGACACGGAATGATAGTGCTGGAAGACTCCTAAACTTCCATATTCCAACTGCGTAATCTTACAGAAAGGGGAATAGAGAGCCAGAGTGAAGGAGTGACTTTTGCCAGACCAGTCAGCATTACACCTAGGTTGATAGAAAGAGTGCTTCTCTTGACTCTCAGCCCAGAGTCTTAACCATCTGCTATTCCCCAAATCTCTAGACAACTCATTGCTCCGATATTTTAACTACCCTGTCAACACCCTAAAGTTGCCCAAGGTTTTTCAGCTTGCTAAGGGGATAATACATTAAAGGAATAAATTAACCAACTATTTATTTTTTAAAATCTGTGTTCAAGCATTTATCAGGAAGTGGTGTAGTATATGTGCCTGTATCAAGTTATTAGAACCGTCATATCTCAATCAAGATTTAAATTGGTTACTTTTAGTATAGAAAAATACCCTTCTTTCAAACAGATGCTCTTAAATATAATAACTATATATCTCCAAAAGGGGTAAGTTGACAACTCCATAATTAGAGTAAGACATTTGGGCATTCCTCACTCAGCAACTGGTAAAATGGTAAGCAGAGAAACGATCTGAACATTATGAACTATTCTGAACTAACTGGTATCTGTAGAAAACTCGACCCAATAATTGCAGAATACATATTAATTTTAAGATTTTATATTATATTTATCATTATTGGCTATATTTGGGGTCATAAAATAAGTTTTATTAAATTAAAAGATTGAAATTACCCAGAATACTTATCCGACATCAGCAGAATTAAATTAGACACAAGTAACAAAAGGGTAACTAAGAAAACCACAAATATTTGACATTAAATTATAGATTTACAATAATGTATGGGTCAAAGAAGAAATCAAAAAAGAAACCAGAAAACTGTTTGAATTAAATGAAAATGCAAATATATCAAAATCTAGATGATACAGCTAAGGCAATGCTTAAAGAAATATTTATGACACTCTACACTTCTATTAAAAAAGAAGTAGTGCCTAAAATTAATTTCTTTTTTCTTTTTTCTTTTTTTTTTTTTTTTGAGACGGAGTCTTGCTCTGTCGCCCAGGCTGGAGTGCAGTGGCGCGATCTCAGCTCACTGCAAGCTCTGCCTCCCGGGTTCACGCTATTCTCCTGCCTCAGCCTCCCAAGTAGCTGGGACTACAGGCGCCCGCCACCACGTCCCACTAATTTTGTTTTTGTATTTTTAGTAGAGACGGAGTTTCACCGTGTTAGCCAGGATGGTCTCGATCTCCTGACCTCGTGGTCCGCCCGTCTCAGCCTCCCAAAGTGCTGGGATTACAGGTGTGAGCCACCACACCTGGCCTAAAATTAATTTCTTAACATACCACCTTTATGAACCAGAAAAAGAAAAGCAGAGTAAACCCAAAGTAAATTAAAAAAAAAAAAAAGCGTAAGGATAAAAACCGGTATCAACAAACTGAAAAAGAGAGAAACAACGGAGAAAGATAAGAAAGCCAAAAATTGTATCTTTGAAGAGATCAATGAAATTGATAAATTTCTAGCTAAACTAGGCAATAGAAGACAAAAGAGTACATATAACATATAGGAAAGAAAGCAGAGTTATCACTAAAGATGCTGCAGACTTCAAAAGGGTATGAAGCAAATATCATGAACAACTTTATGGCATTCAATTTAGTAAGTTAAATGAAATGGGGAAATGTATTTTTAAAAGCAATTAGCTAAAACAATGCAAGATGAAACAGAAATTCTAAACAAACATATGTCTATTAAAAATAAAATTTGTAATTAAAAATTATTTTTATTAAGAAAACATTATGCCCAGATTGCTTCACTGATAAATTATATCAAACAGCAAATGAATAAGGAAATTCACCTTAAATAAAATTTTTCGCAAAATAGGGAAGAGGGAACAGTTACTTCATTCAACTTTGGGATCTCCATAACAATAAGAGTAAATACTAATAAGAATATTATAAATGAAAGAGCAAAAGGATGAGGAAGAGAGAGGGAGAGAGGAAACGAAGAATAAGGAGGAGGAATAAAAAAAGTAGAAAGAAGAAGAGGAGGAAAAGAGGGAGGAGGGTGAGAAAGGATGAAAAAAGAAGAGAAAAGAGAATTACAGGCCACTATGCCTCATGGCTTTACACTCAAAAGTCCTTAACTAGCAAAATGAACTACTCATGACTAGCATAATGTAAAAAAATACATACATACAACATACTAGCATAATGTGTAAAACTGATAATTCCCCATGATGTGGTTTTCCCAGAAATTCCATGTTAGATTAACATTTGAAAATTAATCAATTAATTCAATATATTAACAGAAAAAAAGCACTTTTGATTATTCAACAGATACAGAGAAAAACATTTGAGAAAATGCAAATACACTTTCATGGAAACAAAACTCAGAAAAATAGTAAGAGAAGGAATCTATTAAAGAAGAGCTACAAAAATCCCACTGCCAACATAATTAATGGTGAAATATTAAATATTTCCCACAAGAGTGGAAACAAAGCAAGGATACCTGCTCTTATAACTTGTATTCGATTTTGTATAAGAGGTTCCAGCAGTGCAGTAAGGCAAAGATACATAAAATAAAACAAAGAGCACAAATGTTTGAAAGGAAGGAAAACTGTCTTCATTTACAGAAAATGTGATTGTTTATATATAAAATTCAAATAAATTATAAAAATAATTACTAGAGTTAAAAAGTGAATTTATTAAATTTGCAGAATATAAGGTTAATAAAACTCAATTGTCTTATCTTCTAGAAATAAAAAAATGGTAAATGAAATTAAAAATTAATTTCATTTATACTAGCACCAAAAACATAAATGTAAATTTACTTAGGATTAATTTAATAAAAGAAGTATAATAGCCCTACTATAAATACAGAGTACTGTTGAGAGAACTTAAAGAAGTTCTAAATAAATGAAGATACATACAATATTTCTAAAATGGGAGTCTCAATTTTGTAAAGTTGTCAATTCTCCTCAAATGAATCTATATATTCAATGCACTCCCAATCAAAAGCCCAAAAGGCTTTTCAGAGGCACTGATAATCTAATCCTAAAATTGTTATGTAAATATAAAAGGCCTAGAATAGCAAAGCAATTAAAAAATAAGTGGTAGAACTGATATCAAAATTGACTATAACTCTATAGCAATCAAATCAGTATGGAATTGGTATATAAACAGACATATGGATCAATGCCACATAATAGAGTCCAGAAACAGACCCACTAAAATGTGGTCAAATGATCTTCAACAAAAGGCTGTGCAACAAAAAGAGAAAATTTTTATATCTATATAAAACATTGACATTGACCCTCAGCTCAAACCACATGTGCATACAAAAATTAGTTTGAAGCGGATCATAAACCTAAATGTAAAAGCAAAAATATGTAACCTCCAGAGCGGTGTGGTGGGTGGGGGGAACAGGAGAAAGACATTGATTAGGAAAATAATTTTTAAAAATATAACAAGTACAACGTATTAAGAGAAAAATACTAATGAATTGAATTGTATAAAGATTAAGAGTCTTTGCTCTTTGAAAGACATCTTTAAGGAAAGACACTTTTAAGACATCTGCAAGCTATGACATAAAATGTATATATATCTGAGACAGAGTCTCACTCTGCCACCTGGGCTGGAGTGCAGTATCATGATCATAGTTCGCTGCAGCCTCAAACTCCTCTTTTATTAAATTTTTATTTTCAGATATTTAGGGGGCACAAGTACTGATTTCCTACATGTGTATATTGCATAGTGGTGAAGTCTGGGCTGTTAGTGATTCACCAGAATTCTTAGAATTTTTAGAATATTCACCAGAATAGTGAATATTGTACCCAGTAGGTGATTTTTCAACCCTCACCTCCCTCCCACCCTCCAAACTTTTATAGTATATATATACACCGTGACACACACACACACACACACACACACACACACACACACACGTATCTAAAATACTATACTACATGGAATGTGAGATACATGTATATAGAACATTGTCTTCATCCAGTCCTCCGTAGATGGACACTTAGGTTAATTCCATACCTTTGCTATTGTGAATAGTGCTGTGATAAACACACTAGTGCCAGTCTCTTTTTGATATAATGATTTGTTTCCCTTTGGGTATATACCCAGTAGTGGGATTGCTGAATTGAATGATAGACTTTTAGTTCTTTGAAAAATTTCCATGCTGTTTTCCATAAAGGTCATACTAAGTTATATTCCCACCAACAGTGTATAAATATTCCCTTTTCTCCACATCTTTCCCAACATGTTGTTTTTTGACTTTCTGATAATAGCCATTCTGACTGGTGTGAGATGGTATCTCATTATCTCATTGTGGTTTTAATTTGCATTTATCTGATGATCGTGATGTTGAGCATTTTTTAATATATTTGTCAGCCGCTTGTATGTCTTCTTTTTAAAAATATCTCTTTGTGTCCTTTGCTTACTTTTTAATAGCGCTGTTTGAGGTTTTTTTTTTTCTTATGGAGTTGTTTGAGCTCCTTGTAGATTCTAGATATTAGTCCTTTGTTGGATGCATAGTTTGCAAATACTTTTTCCCTGCTGTAGGGTAACTGTTTACTTTGTTGATTGTTTATTTTGCTATGCAGAAGATTTTTAGTTTAATTAAGTCCCATTTATCTACTTTAGTCTTTGTTCCATTTGCTTTTGAGAACTTAGTCATAAATTATTTGCCTAGGCCAATGTTCAGAAGAGATTTTTCTAGCTTTTCTTCTAGAATTTTTATAGTTTCAGGTCTTACATTTAGGTTTTTAATGCATCTTGAGTTAATTTTTGTATATGGTGAGAGTTATGAGTCCAGTTTCTTTCTTCTCCATATGGCTATCCAATTTTCCCAGCACTATTTATTGAATAGGGTATTATTTCCTTAGCATATATATTTTTTGACTTTGTCAAAGAGCAATTGATTGTAAGTATATGGCTTTACTTCTTGGTTCTCTATTCTGTTCTGTTAATCTATGTGTCTAGTTTTATACCAGTACCATGCTGTTTTAGTTACTATAGCCTTGTAGTATAATTTGAAGTCAGCATATGAATTTTTGGAGGACACATTCAGTCCATAGTACGTGCCTGGTACGTGCAGACACTTTTTTTTTTTTTTCTTTTTTTTTGAGACGGAGTCTTACTCTGTCGCCCAGGCTGGAGGGCAGTGGCACAATCTCGGCTCACTGCAACCTCTGCCTCCCGGGTTCAAGCAATTCTCTGCTTCAGCCTCCTGAGTAGCTGGGATTACAGGCACCTGCCACCACACCTGGCTAATTTTTGTATTTTTAGTAGAGATGGGGTTTCACCATCTTGGCCAGGCTGATCTTGAACTCCTGACTTCGTGATCCACCCACCTCAGCCTCCCAAAGTGCTGGGTTTACAAGTGTGAGCCACTGCGCCCAGCCGACACTCTTTTAATTGCTAGGAAACGTCAATGAACAAAAGTGACGAAGATTCTTCCCCTTGTAAACTTTCATTCCAGCAGGGAGAGACAGATAAATATAGTAAATAAGTAAATTATATAGAACATAAAATACTATAAATCACAATGAGATATTACTTTACATCCATTATAGTGGTGATATCAAAGAGAAAATGACAAGTTGTGGCGAGGATGTGGAGAAGTCAAAACCCTCGTACGTCGCTGGTGGGAATGTAAAATGGGGCAGCCACTTTGGAAACTATTTTGGCAGTTCCTCAGAAAGTTCAGCAGGGAGTTACTATGTGATCCAGCAATTCCACTCCTAGGCATATACCCAAAAGATCGAAAACGTATGTCCACATAAAAACTTCTCAGAATTTATTCATAACAGCATTATTCATGTTAGTCAAAAAGGAGAAAAAACTGGAATGTTCATCCACTGATGAATGAATAAACAAAGTGTAATATATCCATACAACCTGGATATATCCTACAACCTGGATGAAATTTGAAGACATTATGCCAAGAAAGAAGGCAGGCACAAAATGCCACAGATGTTGTGATTCAACTTATATAAAATGTACAGAATAGTCAGATCCATAAAGACAGAAAGTAAATCAATGGTTTTCAGGAGCTGAGCAAAGGAAGCATTGGAGAGGGAGTGCTAGTGGGTTCAGGGATTCTTTGGGGGATGATGAAAATATTCTGGAATTAGACAGTGGTGATGATCATCACAGCTTTGTGAATATCCTAAAAAATCACTGAATGGTATACATCAAAGAGGTGATTTTTCTGGTATAAGAATTATCTCAATGTTTTTTAAAAGGTCATGGTTGCTATGAAATGAAAGAAAAATAGAATAGGGCCGGGTGCAGTGACTCATGCCTATAATTCCAGCACTTTGGGAGGCCGAGGCTGGGGGATCACTTGAGGTCAGGAGTTCGTGACCAGCCTGACCAACATGGTGAAATCCCATCTCTGCTAAAAATACAAAATTAACCTGGCATAGCAGTGCATGCCTGTAATCCCAGCTACTTGGGAGGCTGAGGCAGGAGAATCACTTGAACTTGGGAGGCAGAGGTTACAGTGAGCTGAGACTGTGCCATTGCACTCCAGTCTGGGCAACAAGAGCGAAACTCCATCTCAAAAAGAAAGAAAGAGAGAAAGAGAGAGAGAAAGAAAGAGAGAGAAAGAGAGAGAGAGGAAGGAAGGAAGAAAGAAAGGAAAGAAGGAGAGAAGGAAGAAAAAGAAGGAAGGAAGGAAGGAAAGAAGGAAGGAAGGAAGGGAGGAGAAAAGAAAACATAGAACAGGTAAGGGGTAACTGAAATGGATTGGGCAGACAGCTTGTAATTTTGAATAGGGTGGTCACAATTATTTTCACTGAGAAAAGGACATTCAAGCCAGAATTTGGAAAGGTATGGGAGACGGTCTGGTCATCATCTGGGAGAGGTACTCCAGAAAAAGCAGAGGGACAGGAGGGAATTTGGGAAACAAGAAAAGCCCAGTGTGGCCTGAGTAAAGAAAGAGAGTGGAGGGGGCTGAGGGTCAGAGAAGTGATAAGGGCCAGATCCTGTTGGGTCTTGTAGGTCATCATCAGAACTTAAGCTTTTACCATGAACGAAATGGAGATCCGCTGAAGCGTTTTGAGCAAGCAAGTAGCCTGATCCAAGTTACATTTAAAGAATCATTCTGGGCTGGGCTTGGTGGCTCATGCCTATAATCCCAGCACTTTGGGAGGCCGAGGTGGGTAGATCACGAGGTCAGGAGATCGAGACCATCCTGGCTAACACGGTGAAACCCCGTCTCTACTAAAAATACAAAAATTAGCTGGGCGTGGTGGCACACGCCTGTAGTCGCAGCTACTCGGGAGGCTGAGGCAGGAGGATCACTTGAACCAGGGAGGCGGAGGTTGCAGTGAGCTGAGATCACATCACGGCATGATAAAAAAAAAAAAAGAATCATTCTGGCTGCTGTGCTGAGAAACGTAACAATTGTTATTATATTAAGAGCTTAGGTCTGCTTTGACATGAAGCACTGGGACACTAGAACAGAGAAAGAGATACTCTCCCCACTCCCAACTTTAGAAACTGGCCCCTAACAGGTGAATATGATCCACCGTTTCTGTACTGTGAGCAGAGTCTGTGCCACATTCAGCAAGAGTGGCAGGTCTCCTTGACCTCAGTGCTTCCCGGGGTGGACAGACTACGGCCACCTTATCTTTTTACACGAGAACTGTCCTTCCTCTCTCAGGCATGAAACCATAGGCCAGCTTGGCCATCTTAATCAAAGGGAACTTGAAGCCATTCATTTCATTCATTTTATTTCAAGAAGACATGAAATTATGTTTTATGCCAGGCCAATAAAGGATGACACATAATTTCCTTGGGCTTACAATATTTCTGCCTTTGGAAAGGTGTCTGAGAACTAAATAACCTGAAGTTTACTGTCTAGTACAGTGCAGATTGACAGTAGCTGCTCAATAAAGCATAGTGCCATTCTTCCTCTTTCTCATTCACCTTGACTTCCCCAAGGTCTTCATTTTCAGAGATGGCAACTGATACCTAGAAACCCCACGAAGTTCTACAGTGTTTACATCAATCCCTCAAATCTGGTTGAACCCAAGAGCCAGAGACCTGCTGATTTTTCTGGAAAAATGGCTGTCTTAAAGAAGAACCAAAGGACACAGTGGAAAAGACAGCACCTAAAAGTTAGCATGGATGGAAGGGAAAAGTTCCTGGAAAGCAAGGCATTAGCAGGAATTAGCTAAGTTCTTGTCCACCCTTTGCTAGTGATGATTCATTTTTGTAGGATAATAATATAATAAGACTTTAAAAAATAAAATTTAAAAAACATATCTCTGAAGTTTGACAGGCAAGATAGAACCTAGAAAAATAGAATCTAAACTCTCTCTCTCTCTCTCTCTCTCTCTCTCTCTCTCTGTGTGTGTGTGTGTGTGTGTGTGCAAGAGAGAATGAGAGAGAAAGAGAGAGACAGACAGACAGACAGAGAGAGGCTGGTGATTCAAGGTCCCAGTGCAGATAAACAGACTCACTCTTTCTCCTCCCCAAACAAAACTAGATTTTTTTATTTGTCACACTTGAAGCTCATCTGCTTTCCCACTCCCTCATTAAAATTCTGAGCTACTGCAAGACAGCCTCGTGCAGGATAATTCGAGCCTGATCTCCCAGGAGAATGCCGGGAACCAGGCTTGTGAATTAGCCTTTCCCCTTGGTGGGTGGACACTGCCACCCTGTGTTCAGATACTGGGAACCACTGAGCGGTGATCCTTTCCTCTGGCTCCTCAACTTCATAGTGCTTAGTCGATTCCCAGGTGTGCCCACAATATCAATATGTGTTGGTTATGGTGTGAAGGCTTCCACAGCTGTCAGTGTTTTCAGCCGGGGCATGGAGAGGTTGTTTATAGTGAGGGGAGAGGGAAATGAGATGAAGCTAGGGAGGCAAGCAGAGATGATAGAACGCATGCTAGGGAAAAACCCACGAGGAACTGCCCTGGATTTCCCCAGCAACTCAAGCATTTGGGTTTCTGTGACTTTGCTGCCGCTGCTACCTCTTCCCAGAATGCTTTTCCCACAGACTCTGCCTTGTGAAAGCCCACGCCTCTCAGAGATCTGGCTGAAGCATCACCTTATCTGTGAACCCCTGCCTGATCACCACTCCCCGGACCTTACCCTGGTAGAATCAGGGATTTCATTCTGTCCCATCATCGCCTCTTCCCTACACAACTTAAAGGTGGGTGTCAACATTTCCATACTTTTCTCCCATGAACCCTGGAGGCCCTGGAGTGTGACTGAACTTGTCTTATTGTTCTGTATGTCCCCAAGGCTTAGCAGATCTTTCATTAATATCTTTGGGAGAGCAAATGAATGAATGAGTGGATGGATGGATGGATGGATGAACAAAATAAATGGTATGCATATAACATTTGGAAAAATCAGATTAAAGCCTTTAAGGAAGAAAAATCAATGTTATTAGGAGAGGGGAGGAATAGAACTGAGAGAAGAAGTACCCGAATTGAGGGGCTGGAGAGGGCTGAAAACGGATAGGGAGTGTTACTGAGTTGTAGAAAATAACTCATTTCACCACCAGAGAAAGAGCTATTTATGTAATACTAGAATTAATATAATAATGGTTATTATGTCAGAAGCACAAGAGAGTCATAAAATGGCTTATTAAAAGGGTTGCAACTCAGATCACTAAAACCATCAGAGAGGATTCCAACTTTGCATTTCACTAAAATGTAAGACTTTTTGCTTGAAAACGTCTCATTTAATGGACTTATCAGCTTCCCAATCTCAATATCTTCAAGACTCCTATAAACCTCCACTCTCCCTGATTCTAGCACCTAATTAATCAAAGTCAAGCACTGTTATCCCAGAAATGTCTCTTAAACACCTTAAGCCACCTCCAAACACTTTCACTTCTCCAAACCTTTGAGCAGAAATGTGCTATTTCCTCTGCTGGGAGTATGTTTGAATCCCTTTTTTAAAAAAGGCTAAATTAGAGGTCTCCCTTATAGACTTAGCTTTGGGAAGAGCCTTTCCCATTTTCACACAGCAAAGGTGGCCATTCCTCAACTGTGTTCCCCTTGTGCTGTGTTCATGCCTTAATTCCAGCATTTTTTTTCAAGCCTCTATTGTAGGAATTACTATAGAAGGGTTCTGTTGAAAGTATCTTAACCTGCTCCCCACTGTCTGAAAGCAACACCAAGGAGGTATACAGCTTCAGTATCTTTGTAGTCTTCCGTTCTAGCACATGGATGAAATATAGCAAAAGAGTGCTCAGAACACATTTATGAAATAAATGAATAAAGAAATGAAAACGAATGGACAAGCATGGAGGACATATTAGGTTGAAAAAAAATAGCTTTACCAGTCTGTGTAGCTCCTGATCACAACAGTATATACTGGTCACACCTTGTCCCATTATTTCCACCCAAAATCATACTCTTTCTTTAAGACCTGTCTCAGATGCTACCCCCTTCAAGCTTCTGTCTGTAATTAATCAACATGCAGCCCTTTGCTTCTGGGCAATGCTCACATGACACTCATCATTTGCTACATTTTATGAGAGATCATGCACTAAAAAAATAAAAAATACCTAAAATAAACTGAGAGACTGCTATGTGCCAGCCACAGGGAAAGTCTCTTTCCAAAGCTGAGTCTCTAAGGTAGACCCCTAATTCAGCTTTTAAAAAGTTCCAGATGCTGAGCACAAAGAGTTGAACAAAATGAAAAAGGTCTCTGTTCTTTTGAAGCTTATATTTCAGTGGATGGAGACAGATAATAAATAGCACATAAACAAATAAATAAAAAGAGAGTTTCAGTGTTTTAAGGACAATAAAACTGGGTAATGTAATAGTGTTTCCCTCAGCATTCTCATTTGTAGCCAGCAGAATTCAGTTTCACTAAAGGAGAATTTATTAAGCAGGATTCCTTCAAAAACTCAACAGAAAGACCAAAGAAACAGGCTCTTGTCAAGTTTCCAGCAAAAAAATTGGACATTTCATCTCTAGCATATGACACATGTGGAGAGTCATTGATTTAGTACTACTCAAGAGGGGAGAAAACATTCATTGAAATCTGATCATATTGTGTGACTTTGTTGTTTTTTTCCGAGACAGAGTCTCGCTGTGATGCCCAGGCTGGAGTGCAATGGCCCGATCTCTGCTCACTGCAGCCTCCACCTCCCAAGTCAAGCAATTCTCCTGCCTCAGCCTCCTGAGCAGCTGGGATTACGGGTGCCCACTACCATGCCATGCTAATTCTTTTTTTTTTTTTTTTTTTTTTGTGAGAGGGAATCTCGCTCTGTTGTCCAGGCTGGAGTGCAGTGGCGCGATCTCTGCTCACTGCAAGCTCCGCCTCCCCGGTTCACGCCATTCTCCTCCCTCAGCCTCCAGAGTAGCTGGGACTACAGGCGCCCGCCACCACACCCGGCTAATTTTTTGTGTATTTTTAGTAGAGACGGGGTTTCACTGCGTTAACCAAGACAGTCTTGATCTCCTGACCTCGTGATCCACCTGCCTTGGCCTCCCAAAGTGCTGGGATTACAGGCGTGAGCCACTGCGCCCGGCCTAACTTTTGTATTTTTAATAGAGACGGGGTTTCACCATGTTGGCCAGGCTGGTCTCGAACCCCTGACCTCAAGTGGTCCACCTGCCTCAGCCTCCCAAAGTGTTGGGATTACAGGCGTGAGCCACCGTGACTGACCAAATTGCATGACTTTTTTTTTCCATTTTGCCATGCAAGTTTTCCCTTCCCTCCTGCCTTACTTACCTACAGATTCAGATTTTTTAAAAGGAGTTTATGCTTTCTATGACTTTTTGCATTAGGGTTGAAACTTTCAGTCACAAGTCGTTTGGGACAGATAACTTACTAAAGGTCTAGAACAAATGACCAGCCACCCAAGGACACATATGCAGGCTGGCATGCCTGCAGCCAGAAAGAAACCATATGGAAAGCATAGCACAGTCCAATAGGTCTCTGCTCCTCCATAGGACAGTCCAATAGGTCTCTGCTCCTCCATAATAACTCTCTTGGAGAAAAGTTGGGTTCTGTGTCTAGTGTGAAACTCTCATAAATAGTTTTTTGAACAATCATGTACTTGGTGGACTACAAGACAAAATGATTTTGTTTTTCTTCTATCAGTCTTCAAACAAATGCTGTTGGCTCCTCCTTTCCTGCTGCTTCATGGCATATTGGGCAGATCCCACAGGTGGTGTTAAAATGTCCAGCCCAGTTAGTCCAGTTTAAAATTTTATTTTTATATTCAATTCAAAGCATTTCCCCTCTCCGGTGCAGAACTGCCTTGCATACTAGGAAGCAGGCCCTTTTGATTCTCCTTCATTATGGGAAATAGACTTGTTGGTGATACTGGAAGCTAGTGCCCCAAAACGGAGCACAGTGAGCCTTAAGCATCCCACTTTGTAAAATGAAAGCATGGTTTTCCTCTTCAGGCTTATTACAATGAGGTAAAGCTAGTACTATGGCCAACACTCATCCATACCCTCTTCAGTCCAAAGAAAAGACTAGAAATTTGAAAAGATTGCCTAAACTAAATTACCATTCCCTTTTCCTCCTAATGCTTTGGAGTTCTCCAAGATCAGGATCTGAAAGCAAGGATTATGGGTAAGTGGCAAAAGCACTTTTACTTCGCAGCTACAGTTGACGCTTCTTCCCTAGCTATTTCAGTGCTTCCAGAGGTCCCTGAGGCTTCTCACTGCATGATTCTCTTATGTGGGAGAACCTTTTTGACTTGACTTCCTCCAAATATCTATTCCCCTTCTGCCCCCAGGTAATACTTTCCAAAATACCTTATTGCTATGGTACTCCTCCCCTGCTGGCCAGATTACTTGCAGGTAGGAGGGAGGAGCACTGGCAAGACAAGCTCGATACTGGCTGACTCTCAGTTTCCACATGGCCCATTGAAAACTCATGATCCTCACCCACCACAGAGTGAGAGCGTCGGCGACCCCATTATAAGCTTCTTTTTCCACCCAGCCATTGCTCTATTTCTTTCTTTTTCCTTTGCTCACACAGATTGAAGATTGGCAAATCCACTGCTCCAACAGATATCCAACAGGGCAAAGGGGATGCCAGGCTACCGTCTTTTAGGCATGTGTGGTCTCTGCAAGTGGTCCTTGCAGAATACTCCCTAGTTTGACTTGGGTGGGGAGCGGGCCCCATTAAGAAGGGAGGGGAGAGGAAAAAATAAAGTTTTTCTCCCCTAAAGGCACAATTACTCCATATTTTCACAAATTCCATTGAGTTTAGGCAATCTTTTCAAATTTCTAGTCTTTTCTTTAGACTGGAGAGGGTATGGATGAGTGTTGGCCATAGGACTAGCTTTACCTCATTGTAATAAGCCTGAAGAGGAAAGCCATGCTTTCATTTTACAAAGTGGGATGCTTAAGGCTCAATGTTCTCCGTTTCAGGGCACTAGCTTCCAGTATCACCAACACGTCTATTTACCATCTTATTATACCTGTTTAGATGCAGGTGTTCTAGAAAAGAGAGGAATTAGGGTGAGGATTTTAGAATTGGAAGGCCAAGGAAATGAGATCTATGAAAATCGTATAGGCCACATAGAACAGGCTGGAAGATCTCTCTGTGTTTTCTCTTCCAAGAAACTAAGAATATGTCAGTCCCCTTCACCTTGCATGGATGTTTTAGGTTTCAAGCAATCCAAGTCGTCTTCAAAGCTGCTTGGGTTTCTTAGCAATCAACAAGATAAGTACAAGGTAACTATGTCACAAAGATCAAACGTTGTTACTCATTGTAGTCACTGCATTCCAAACTTTCCCAGTGTAGTAGCCATTGGAGGTCTATGAGCATCCTTCTAGAAGAAAGAAGAGTCTCAAATGGACTCTTTACTAACCTTTAAAAACAAGTCACTTTTTTTTTTTATTATACTTTAAGTTCTGGGGTACATGTGCAGAATGTGCAGGTTTGTTACATAGGTATACACGTGCCATGGTGGTTTGCTGCACCCATCAACCTGTCATCTACATTAGGTATTTCTCCTAACGCTATCCCTGCCCTAACCCCCACCACCAGACAGGCCATGGTATGTGATGTTCTCCTCCCTGTGTCCATGTGTTCTCCTTGTTAAACTCCCACTTATGAGTGAGAAAATGTGGTGTTTGGTTTTCTGTTCTTGTGATAGTTCGCTGAGAATGATAGCTTCTAGCTTCATCCATGTCCCTGCAAAAGACATGAACTGATTCTTTTTTATGGCTGCATAGTGTTCCATGGTGTATATGTGCCACACTTTCTTTATCCAGTCTATCATTGATGGGCATTTGGGTTGGTTCAAAGTCTTTGCTATTGTGAATAGTGCTGCAATAAATATACAGGTGCATGTGTTTTTATAATAGAATGATTTATAATCACTTGGGTGTATACCCAGTAATGGGATTGCTGGGTCAAATGGCATTTCTGGTTCTAAATCCTTGAGGAATCACCACACTGTCTTCCACAGTGGTTGACAAAACATCACAAAAGTGCTGTGAACGAAACAAGTCACATTTTAACAACTATGTATTAAGCCCTTTACAGCTTTCATTGCTTAACTTTCTTTCTATAGCTCTTTTCCACCACCTTCACCCTCCAGAACTAACAAATGCAAAGGTAGGAGGTAGCAGATGCGATCTATGGTAATTTTCCTCCAACATTAGAGCTCTTCACAGTGATAGTATATTATGAGACTCACACAGGGTGCCACATAAAATGTATGTTTGTTAGATACCTTTCAAATTAAATTCAGTCACAGGAAAATATGATGTGGTGGGTTCAATTTCCACACTCTGACCCCTGCTCCAAAAAATCCATTGACTTTCCTTTATTCAGTTTTGCTCATAAAAACAAACTTCTAGAGTACATTTCAACTGCAATTCAATTGATAAATATTTGCTCTATGTACAATATCTGGATTCATAATCACAGCCTACAGTAGCAGTTCTCAATCGTTTCTTTTAAATAATAGAGACAGGGTCTCACTCTGTCTCTCAGGCTGGAGTGCCATGGTGTAATCACAGCTCACTGCAGCCTCGACCTCCTGGGCTCAAGTGATCCTCCCACCTCAGCTTCCTGAGGAGCTGGGACTACAGGCGTGCACCACCAGGCCAGCTAATTGTATTTTTATTTTTCTGTAGAGATGGGGTCTGGCTATTTTTTCCGGGCTGGTCTCGAACTCCTGGCCTCAAGGGATCCTCCCACTTCAGCTTCCCAAAGCAATGGTATTACAGGCATGAGCCACCACGCCCGGCTGTGGTTCTTAATCTTAATCTTGGCTCTACATTAAAACTACTGGGGGATTTTTCAAAACTCTCAGTACCCACCCCAATCCTCTACTAATTCACACAGAAGTTCTTGAGGGTGGGACCCAGGCATCAGTTTTTTTAAAGCTTTCCTGGTATGCAGCCAAAGTTGAGAAACACTATTGGAAAGTCATCCAGAGCCGTGTTCTCCAGATCCAGGAGGCTGTCGCTTTCCATTAGCTCCTTCTCAACCTTGGTCCTTGACCCAGGGGTCCCTACCAGCCGCCCTCCCGGCCTCCACAGGCCTTTGGGGCGTGTATCCTTGTCCTCTTTGCCCTCCACAGAGCATGGTCTGGCAGATAGACGGGGGTGGCACAAGGGTGACATCTAGTGGTTTAAAAAATGAAGTTAGCGTCTTAATGGTCCCATTCTCTGAAAAATGGCAAGAGAACGACACCGGCGGAACCTGGTCTGTGTGCCGCCTGGGATTGGCTCAGCCATGGTCTCCTGTCCTCTGCAACTGACGATGCTCTAGGAGCCCTACAGGGCTGAACCTCATTCTTGGAGGCCTCAGAGGGAGGTCCTCCTTGAACTCAGTCTTAGCCTTCATGCTGTTTTGCCTACCCCGCCACCAGGCCCGCTGCTATGGTGGCTGTTCCCTGCCCTTAAGTCACCGGCAGACGTGGCCTGATGGCACCTAGCCTCAAGCCTGACCCACCATGCCATGCAAGCTTCCACCCCTGTTGCCATAGAGAAGCACTGGGCGCTCACACGCACACGGGCTCACCTGGCCTGGTTCCTTGGGCTGCAGGTGAATGGTGGACCTCTCTTCCCTCTCTGGCTCTCCCCTGTTCCCAGGCTGCCCCTATGCTCTGGGCCTCACACCACGGATGCCTCTGCGGCTCCCCCAAAATGTGGGTGAGTCATTGCCCCGGGGCCTTGCATTCATTGGCTCTGGCTGCCGTAACAAGGTACAGGCAGACCTCGTTTTCCCGCACTTTGCTTTATTGAACTTTGAAGATAGTTGTGTTATTTATAAATCGAAGGTTTGTGGCAACCCTGCATTGAGCAAGTCTATCGGTGCTATTTTTCCAACAGCACGTGCTCACTTTGTGTCTCTGTGTCACATTTTGGTAATTCTCAAGTATTTCAAACTTTTTCATTATTATTATATCTGTTACAGTGATCTGCGATTTGTGATTTGTAATTGTTTCGGGGCTCCATGAACCATGTAAGACAGAGAACTTAATCTATAAATGTTCTGACTGGTCATTCCCTCATCTCTCTCCTCCTCATCGGGCCTCCTGAGACACAATAGTATTGAAATAAGGACAATTCATAATGCTACAAGTGTTACACTTAAAAGGCTCTAAGTGTTCCAGTGAAAGGAAGACACACACCTCTCACTTTAAATCAAAAGCTAGAAATGATTACACTTAGTGAGGAAGACATGTTGAAAGTGGAGATAGGCCAAAAGCTAGGCCTCTTGTCCCAAACAGCCTAGCTGTGAACACAAAGGAAAGGTTCTTCAAGGGAATTAAAAGTGCTGTGAGGCTGGGCGTGGTGGCTCAAACCTGTAATCCCAGCACTTTGGGAGGCCGAGGCGATGGATCACCTGAGGTCAGGAGTCCGAGACCAGCCTGGCTAACATGCTGAAATCCCGTCTCTACTAAAAATACAAAAGATTAGCCGGGCGTGGTGGCACACACCTGTAGTCCCAGCTACTCGGGAGGCTGAGGCACGAGAATTGCTTGAACCCCAGAGACGGCGGCTGCAGTGAGCCGAGATCGCGCCACTACACTCCAGCCTGGGCAACAGAGTGAGACTCTGTCTCAAAGAAAAAAAAGTGCTGTGACTCCAGTGAATGCACACATGATAAGAAAGCCAAACAGCCTTATTGCTGATATTGAGAAAGTCTGAGTGATCTGAATAAAGATCAAACCAGCTGTATAACATTCCCTTAAACCAAAGCCTAATCCAGGGCAAGACCCTAACTCTCTTCAATTCTGTGAAGGCTGAGAGAGGTGAGGAAGCTGCAGAAGGAAGTTTGAAGCTAGCAGAGATTGGTTCATGAGGATTAAAGAAAGAAGTTGTCTCCATAACACCAAAAGTGCAAGGTGAAGCAGCAAGTGCTGATGGAGAAGCTGAAGTTATCCAGAAGATCCAGCTAAAATCACGGATGAAGGTGGCTCCACTAAACAACAGATTTTCAAGGTTAAAAAAAAAAAAGCCATCTAGGACTTTCTTAGCTAGAGAGAAGTCAATGCCTGGCTTCAAAGCTTCAAAGGACAGGCTGCCTCTCTTGTGAGGGGCTAATGTAGGTGGTGACTTCAAATAGAAGCCAGTACTCATTTACCATTCCAAAAACTTTAGGGCCCCTAGAATTATGCCATATCTATTCTGTCTGTGCTTTATAAATGGAACAACAAGCCTGGATAACAGCATATCATTTACAGCATGGTTTCCTGAATATTTTAAGCCCAGTGTTGAGAAATATTATTCAGAAAAAATATTTCTTTCAAAATATTACTGCTCATTCACAATGCTTCTGGTCATGCAACAGTTCTGAGGGAGATGTACAAGATTAATGTTGCTTTCATGTCTTTTAACACAACATCCATTCTGCAGCCCATGAATCAAGAAGTACATTTAACTTTCAAGTCTTCTTAAATAAGAAATACATTTCATAAGGCTATAGCTGCCATAGACAGTGATTCCTCTGATGAATCTGGGCAAAGTAAATTGAAAATCTTCTGGAAAGGATTCACCGTTCTAGATACTATTAAGAATATTTGTGGGCCGGGTGCGGTAGCTCATGCCTGTAATCCCAGCACTTTGGGAGGCCGAGACAGGTGGATCATGAGATCAGGAGATCGAGACCATCCTGGTTAACACGGTGAAACCCCGTCTCTACTAAAAATACAAAAAAATTAGCTGGGCGTGGTGGTGGGCACCTGTAATCTCAGCTACTTGGGAGGCTGAGGCAGGAGAATGGTGTGAACCCAGGAGGCGGGGTCTGCAGTGAGCCGAGATCGTGCCATTGCACTCCAGCCTGGGTGACAGAGCAAGACTCCGTCTGAAAAAAAAAAAAAAAGAATATTTGTGATTCATGGGAGGAGATCAAAATATCAACATTAATAGGAGTTTGGAAGAAGTTTATTCCAACCCTCAGGGATGAATTTGAGGGGTTCAAGATTTCAGTGGAAGAAGGAGTTGCAGCTGTGGAAATACCAAGAGAACTAGCATTAGAAGTAGCGTGTGAAGAGATGGAGTTGCTGCAGCCTCATAATAAAGCTTGAATGGATAACGCGTTGCTTCTTATGCATTAGCAAAGAAAGTGGTTTCTTGAGATAAAATCTACCCATGGTGAAGCTGCTGTGAACATTGTTAAAATGACAACGAGGTATTTAGAATATTACATAAACCTAAATGATGAAGCAGTGGCAGGGTTTCAGAGGATCAACTCCAATTTTGAAAGAAATTCTACTGTGGATAAAACGCTATCAAACAGCATCTCATGCTGCAGAAAATCTTTCATAAAAGGATGAGTTGATCAATGAGGCAAACTTCATTGTTGTCTTATTTTAACGAATTGCCACAGCCACCCCAGCTTCCAGCAACCGCCAACCTGTCAGTCAGCAGCCATCAATCATCAAGGCAAGATCATCCGCCAGCAAAAAGACGATGATTCACTGAAGGTTCAGATAATTGTTAACATTTTGGGGGCAATAAAAATTTAAAGTATATGTAAATTAAGGTCTATACTTTGTCTTTTTAAAATATAATGCAATTGCAAACTAAACAGACTGCAGTATACTGTAAACATTACTTTTATATGTACTGGGAAACCAAAAACTTTGTGTGACTCACTTTATTATGATATTTTCTTTTTCTTTTTTTTTTTGAGACGGAGTCTCACTCTGTCTGTCCCCCAGGCTGGAGTGCAGTGGCGCAATCTCCGCTCACTGCAGGCTCCGCCTCCCAAGTTCACGCCATTCTCCTGCTTCAGCCTCCTGAGCAACTGGGACTACAGCCGCCCGCCAGCACGCCTGGCTAATTTTTCATATTTTTAGTAGAGACAGCGTTTCACCGTACTAGCCAGGGTGGTCTTGATTTCCTGACCTCATGATCCACCTTCTTTATTGCAATGGTCAGGAATGGAATCTCCAATGTCTTCAAGGTGTACCTATGCCACAAACTGAGTAGCTTAAACAGTAGAAATTTATTTCTCACAGTTCTGGAGGCTACAAGTCCAAGATCAAGGTGTTTACATGGTTCCTTTCTTCTGGGGTCTCTCTTCTTCACTTGTAGATGGCCATCTTCTCCCTGTGTCTTCAGATGGGTTCTCTTTGTGTATCTGTGTCCTCGTCTCTTCTTCTTATAAGGACACAAGTAATACTGGATTAGGGCCCAACCTAAAGAACTAATCTTAACTTAATTGCCCTTTAAAGTCCTGTCTACTACTTCAACATACAAATTTGGGGGGCCGGGGGGAGCAAAATATATAAATAATAGGCATGTTTGGTCAGTGTGAGAAAGGTGCTCAAATAAAAAAATTCCTCTCCTTTCTTTTTCCCATCATGTATTTGGAGACACAGTCATTTAAGCAGCCCTTCTGAGAACGACCTCAGAGACCAAGGAATCTCCTGGCCCTTTACAAAGCTGTGGCCAGTCGCCAGCACACTCTTCTATCTGCTCTGCCTCCTTCCTTGCCACACTCTCTCTTTAATCTCATACCTACTTGGCTGAGAGAATGGTTCCCTACTGAAGTGTGTGCATGCAGGATTTTCCTTCAGGTTCCATTTTCGAGGGAGCCCGGTCTTTCACATGAAATTATCTGTTTTCGCCAACCTAAGGCAGAATTAGAATTTTCTGGGGCATTGACTTTGCGATGTGGCTTTATTCCTTTATGTTACAGCCTGGCCTCAGCTGGGACAGCTGAGGAGTGCTGGGCCAGAAAGCAGGGAGTAAAGACTTGAGGTGGCCCTGCACAGCAAACCCCAAGGTCCCACGAGCACCCTGGGTCCTCCTGGTGCCCTGGAAACCATTCTGCCCCCAAGGCCCTACTCTGGGCCTACAATGGGAGGGGGAGCCTCAAAAATCTCTGATATACTTTCAGGGGCATTCTTCCATTTTCTTGATGTCTAGAACCTGGCTTTCTTCTAGCAATACTAAACTCCATACCAAATGGTTAATTGGCCACACCTTGATTTTCTCTCCAAAATGTGCTTCTTTCTTTATATCCCTTGTAAGCTGTATTCCTAGGTATACAGCACTAAATGCCACCGTGCCCGGCCTTACAGTCCCTACTTTCTTGTGATTCTTGGAGTCACCTTTCAAGTAAACTACTTGCACCAGAGGTCTAGTTTCATGGTGTACTTTTAGGGGGAACCCAAACTAAGAGCATCACTTTATGTTTATAGGTTATTTATTTATTAATAACAGGTTGTTTCTATTTTTGCCCATTTTCCTATAGGGATGTTTATCTTTCCCTTTTTAACTCATAATAGTTATTGTATATACTAAATATTGACCTTAATTATTTATGTAGAGAGAGAATATTTTATCCCAGTTTGTGATTATCTTTCCACTTTTCAATGGTGTCCCTGATGAGTAGAAATTTCAAATGCAATGTAGGAGAAACTGTCAATAATCTCCTTTATGATTTGTGTGTGTGCTTTTTTTTCCCTTAAGACATCATTCTTGAAGTCATAGAAATATTCCTCGTCTGTTTAAGGCTGGGCGTGGTGGCTCACGCCTTTAATCCTAGCACTTTGGGAGGCCGAGACAAGTGGATCACCTGAGGTCAGGAGTTTGAGACCAGCTGGCCAACATGTCGAAATCCCGTCTCTACTAAAAATACAAAGATTAGCCAGGTGTGGTGGCGCATGCCTGTAATCCCAGCTACTCAGGAGGCTGAGGCAGGAGAATCAGTTGAATTTGGGAGGCAGAGGTTGCAGTGAGCCGAGATCATACCACTTCACTCCAGCCTGGGTGAAAGAGCAAAACTCCATCTCAAAAGAAAAAAATTATTCATCTGTTTCTAAAATTGAGATTTCTAATTCAGCTGGAATTGGTATTTATTTAGTGGAAGGAAAGGATCCAATTTTATTTTTTTCCATATAGATAATCAGTTGTCTCGATGCCTTTTACAGAATACTCCTTCCTTCCTGCATTGTTCTTCAATACTAGCTCTGTCACGTGCTAAATGTCCATATGTGCCTGGGTCTAGTTCTCTTTTTATTCTGCACCATTGTTCTGTTTGCCAGTTCCTGCACTAATAATACCACATGCTATGGTCTGAATGTGCCCTCCCCCACAAATTCTTGTGCCAAATCAACAGTGTTGGGAGGTGGGACCTAGTGAGAGCTATCCCACTCTCTTGAGTGGATTAAAAAGGGCTTGGGGGGCTGGGCGTGGTGGCTCACGCCTGTAATCCCAGCACTTAGGGAGGCCGAGGCAGGTAGATCACAAGGTCAGGAGATCGAGACCATCCTGGCTAACACAGTGAAACCCCATCTCTACTGCAAATACAAAAAAATAAGCCAGGCTTGGTGGCGGGTGCCTGTAGTCCCAGCTACTTGGGAGACTGAGGCAGAAGAATGGTGTGAACCCAGGAGGCGGAGCTTGCAGTGGGCGACAGCGTGACACTCCATCTCAAAAAAAAAAAAAAAGAAAAGAAAAGAAAATAGGGACAGTAAGACAAGGATTGTAGAAAGCAAAACAAAAACAAACAAGAATTAATGATCATTTCACCATGGAGGGCAACAGAGTAAAGCCCCAGTGATACTCTCTTGAGATACCATGTAGCACATGACCCCACACTGTCCCACAGAGGAGCTATCCCATCTGCTGGGTAAAGCCCTCAGGCAGAAAAGAAGAAAGATACATGCAGGAGACTGCAGTGGGAAGCCAGCATAGGGCTTGGACATGTGGGAGCTAGAGGCAAACTCAGGTAAGGCAAGGAAAATGGAGCATTTGCTGCAGGTGCTCAGTCTCATTAATAGGAAAACGTAGATGAAAACAACAATAAGCATTTCACCCTTCTAAGATTGGCAAAAGTTAAAACGTCGGACAGTACTTAGGGTTGGCAAGAATGTGGAACAATGGGGACTCTTTCATGAAGGCTAATCAACAAGGATGGATAGAACTGGACAAGACTTTTCTATGCAAATGAAGCTCTCCCACATGTACACAATATTCATAGCATCATACAAAAGAATCTGGAAGCAACCTAAATATCTATCAACAGTAGAGTGAATAAATAAATTATGATAGGTAGTTAACAATATCTAACAGCAAAAAAAAAAAAAAAATAACGAGCAGTAGTTCTCCAGGACTGATAGCATTGGCATCGTCTAGGAACTTATGATAAATATTCATTCTCAGGTCCTTACGTAGTCCAACTGCAGAAACTCTGGGGGTTGAGCTCAGCAATCTGTGTATTACCAAGCCCTCCAGGCAATTTTAGTGCACACTAAAGTTTGAGAACCACTGAAGTTGAGCTATGGCAGCACAGATTAGTCTCCCAAACATAATGTGGGGCAGAAAGTCAGGTGCATGATAATACATTCATATGACACCATTATAGAAAATGTTTAAATATTCACTATATTATTATATTGCCCATGAATGCATACATGTGAAGTAGTAAAATGAAACAGAAATGCATGGGAACGATAAATACTAAGTTCAGGCTGATGGTTGCCTCTGGGAGGGAAATGAATAGGATATATAGTTTGCAGGAGTATACAGAGGACTTCAACTATATTGATAATATGGTATTCCTTAAATAATTTACTGTATTATTCCTTATAATAGGAATAATGGTTTAAAAAACATATAACATGAAATTTACCATCTTAACCAGGATCTCACTGTGTTGCCCAGGCTGGTCTTGAACTCCTGGCCTCAAGTGATCCTCCCCTACTTAGCCTTTCAAAGTGCTGGTATTACAGGTGTGAGCCACTGCAACTGGCCTTATCATAACTTTTTTTTTCTTTTTTTTTTAGATGGAGTCTCACTCTGTCGCCCAGGCTGGAGTGGAGTGGTACAATCTTGGCTCACTGTAGCCTCTGCCTCCCAGGTTCAAGTGATTCTCCTGCCTCAGCCTCCCAAGCAGCTGGGATTACAGGTGCCTGCCACCATGCCCAGCTAATCTGTGTATTTTTAGTAGAGGTGGGATTTCATCATGTTGGCCAGGCTTGTCTCGAAGTCCTAACCTCAGGAGATCCTCCCACCTCGGCCTCCCAAAGTGCTGGGATTACAGGCATGAGCCACCATGCTGGGCCCCATAACTTCTTAATTATCTTCTTGAATACTTCATTTTTCTGACATTTAAGTCACCATCACTCACCTATATATTCCAACCATATTAAACATCCTCTGCATATTTTTTGTCCTTTCTCTCTGCCATGCCTATATGCATACCATTGTTTTTGCTTGGAATGCCCTTATCTCATACCTTGCATGCACAAATACTATTCATCCTCCAAAACCCAGTTCATAGGTCAATTCTTTGAAGTCTTCCCTGATTTCAGTATTTGCAAGTGGTCTCTTCCCTCTTCCAAATCCCCATAACACTCTAGCTTCTCCTTTTTCGTGGTACTCACATCTGACTACCTTGTTGTCTGTACATGCCATGATCTCCTTGGGACAGAATTCATAACTAAGAGCTAAAATGTATTGGGTGCCTACTGTGTGCCAGGCACTGTACATATAGTACTATATTTATTTGCTCATATGATCCTTTTATCAACCTGATGAGGTAGGCAGTGTTAGCTCCATTTTACAGATAAGGACAGTGAGATTTAGAGACTCAGCCAAGTTTACACAATGTGGCAGAGAAGGCTGTGGTCTGGCAAAATGTATTGTTTCATTGCCATAATATAGAGTGGTTGCATGGAAGCGGAACCTAACATGACTATTCCCCAGCCACCTGGCATCCAGGCAGGACCTGTGACTAGTTCTCAGCAATAGAATCCAAGTGGAAGTGATGTGTGTCCATTCCAAGTGAAGGTATTTAAGAATCAGTTGTGCCTTTCCCCACTTCCGCCTTTATCTGCTATCTGGATGCAGAGAACTCTAAGGAGCCCACCGTAAAGAAAGGCTCTTGAATCTCTCTGACTACACCAATCAACCAGGAATATCCACCTGGAAGCACCACCTACATGAGAAACAAATGTATTGAGGCACTGAAATTGGGGAGTTTATACAGCAGCTGGCATTATCTTAACTAATTCAAACAGCTACCAAGGGGTGGAACTAGGCTTCAGACTGAGAAAAGCTTATTTTAGAGGCTGTGATTGGTATGAATCCATATCTATAAGATCAGAAGCCTGCACTTTTCACCACGAAGCCAGTGTCTCTCATCGTGTCAGTCAAAGGTCATTTCTACAAGGATTACAAAGCTGCCTGTAAAACATGTAGACATGGGACCTCACTCCAGATTTTCCAAATTAAAATCTTTGGTATTTGTGACAAAAATCTGCCTTGTTAACAATCTTCCCAGGAGAACCTGGTGTACGCTAAATATTGAGAAACTTTTCTATGAATGATATTGTCTCCTTCCTAATATTCAGCACAGTGTTTTACAGAGAATAGGAGATCAGGCAGCATTGCATAGGTGAATGAACAAAAGTGTGAGCCAATAGGGCATTTCTGTGGAAAGGGACCCCAAACTTTCCATCTCTTCTGGATCCTAAATCCAGTGCTGATTCCTTAAATCCTATTGGACAGCATCCCTCAGGATTCATTCTTGAGTCAGAAAGGTGTTCAACCATTGCCAGAAGTGACCCTCTACTATTCATGATGCTGAAGCCTCACTTTGAAGCTGCCAGAACTCAGACGCCATGCCTGGTGGATTTATTGCCCAGCCTGCCCACGGAGCAGGTAATTAGTTTGAAATGGAGAGCAACAATGAAGGTCAAACTCCCCCACTGTCACAAGGGACAGTTTGTTCCCAACAATTTCTCTCATAAAGGACCTGGAATCCTCCCCTCACACAGCCTTAGTCCTGAGAAGAGAGAAAAAAAGAAAAGAAAAGAAAAATACTTTCTCATAAAAGTCCACTCTAACCTTGATTTTTGTTGTAGCATTCTACAAGGGCTGATAACTGCTGGGATAATACAACGGATGGTGAATTTGATTCAATCCTGAATTCCGCTGCAGAGGGCTCCTGTGAGAACCGCTAACCTATCTTAATGGAAGAGGACAAAGAAAGGTCACCTTTGGATTTGTGAGGTCACGCACAGCTCAGGAGGAATGAAATTTACTGAGTTTGCTGCCAGCTCAAGCCATTTTCTCAAAATGACCATCTCTCTAGGGAGAGATATTATGCTCATACTGTTAGAAGCTCGGAGGCTAGGTAATAAAACAATATATGTTTGCTGTTTTGTCAGCTTTGGTTTTTGCTTTAGCAGTTGTTTAAAACGTGAAAAAAATCAAAGAAGAACAGAAAAATAAACAAGCAAAAAGACTAAAGACAGAGGGAAATGGAGAGTCAGCATACGAGGGGGAAAGAGCAGAGTGAATATAGAGACAGATAAAAGAACAGGGTGGAGTGAAAGGGGAAAAAAATAGATTCTACCTCCCTCCTTTTTCATTTGAAGAAAGCTTGTACGTCAGCTTTTCACTTTCCTGATCCATAAAAATTGTCAGTGACCCTGTTTCTTCTCTCCTCTGAGCCTGGAACAGGTATTGAGGGATAATCTTAGAAAGTTTTAAATTGCCTGAGCACGGCGCTGAAGCTGCCCATTGACTACTGGGAGTCTGGTGTGTTCAACAGAGGATGCAGCACAGAAAAGGAATCAATCTCTGAATCTTGTACCTTTATCAGCCCATGCTGGCTGCCCTCCTCCCTCTCCTACCATCTCCTGGAAGAGCTTTCAGCTGAATCCTTCATGTGCACTCTCTCGGATAAACAGTTGCATGTAATCCCTTGCTATGCAGGGGACAGAGATTCGGCCTTGCATGGTTAGAGCAAGGATTCTGGGCTCTGATTTCCCCATTCCTCCCTCTCTTTCTCACTCCCACAGGAATGAGGCCCTGAGAAACTGGAAGGTCAGGGAAGATTCCTGTGGGACCCCCACAGGAAGATTCCTGGGTTTCCCCCTCAGCACACCCTCCCCAGACACACCTGACGGCAAAAGCAGACATCCTCCTATCATTAAGAAACTTATAAAATTATAATGTCCTTCTATCTTCAGCTTAATACCTTGCCGTTGTTAAAAAGAGAGAGAGAGAGAGAGGGAATAACACAAAGGAATTAAGCAAAAGGCTATTTCCACACACGATTCTGATTACAAATTTAGTGCTGTGTACATCTCTAGCAAGGTCAATTACAAACATCGAGGGGAAATGCCTGTGCCGGTTTTTTTCCGTATCTCAATTCTCTCTCTCCTGCCAATCCTGATATTCTTCTGCAAGGGACCACCTGCTGAGTAAAGGTTGGGACATAGTTTTAAGTCAAAAATTTTGCTGCTTCTTAGCATTAAAAAGATGCAAGTTATTTAAAACTGGGTATACATCTTCAAGGTCACTATTCTGGAATTTAAAAATCAAGCAAATGTTGAGTCATCAAAGGAAATTTGCATTTATTTCAATAACTGAGGAAAAACGACTAGAAAAAATGTAACCCAGCTTTTAGATGGATATCTCCTTACCCCCAAAAGATGGATTTATATCGGCTTATACCTCTCCCCAGTCCATGGCCTGTGGAAGTCCAAAGCTCTTTTCTTGTGTTTTTGAAAATTCTTGGAATCTTCCTTTTCCATTCCCGCCTCTACTTCCTGGATACTGACTCATTGTGGACTGCCTCTTTTCTGGGCTTTGGGTTGACCCAGATATGAAACTTCCTGAAACCTCCACTCACCAAATAGGAACCAGCCCCACCAATCATCTGTGAACACTAAAGTCTTTACTAAAGATTTTAAAAGGGAAAGGAGGTTTATATGACAGCAATAAGAACACCACAGTCCTCCCCCTTCTTAAAATATCTATGGGCGGGCTACATATCAACTAAACATTTTCACTGGCCCCTCAGCTTGTTCCACTTAATTCTGCTGGCTCTTTGCCATTTTTCTCCCTCCCTCTCTTTTCCTTCCTACCTCTTTCTGGAGCATTAAAATGTAATTTCTCTCTATTTCCACTAAAGCCTTAGCTCTAGCCAGCATGTGGGTTGGGTGACAAGGGAAGGACTCACCAAGGAATCATTTCGAACACGATACTTAAAATACATCTAAGAAAAAAGAAAAAGGGCAGAGAAGTTGGTGGTCACCACTGCGTAGGACCTTTCTGTGCCTCCAGGGTGCTGCACCTGAGTGCTCCAACAGGAGAGACAGCCAGGGTTAGGGGTGAGGGGTCTAGAAGGGAGGGTTACCAGCATGAGCCTGGGGTCTGCACTGCTGAGAAAGAAGGGCCTTGGGGGAGAGCATTTATCCTCCATTCTTCATGTTTTCATATTGCAGCATGTTGAATGGTGCCCCCCCACAAAAAATATGTCTATATCCTAATTCCCAAAATGTGCAAATGTGACCTTCTTTGGAGAAAAGGTCTTTGCAATGTAATTAAGTTAAGGACCTCGAGATGACATTATCCTCGATTATCCGGGTAAGCTCTCAGTCCAATAGCAAGTGATGTTGTAAGAGTCGGAAGAGGAGACTCACACACAGGAGGAGAAGACCATGTGAAGACAGAGGCAGAAACTGGAATGAGCAGCCACAAGCCCAGGAACCCTAGAGCCACCAGAAACTGGAAGAGGCAAGGAGTAGAGCCTTCAAGGGGATCATGGTCTTGCCCACACTTTGATTTGGGACTTTTGGCCTCCAGACTGCAATAGAATAAATACCTGTTGGTTTTGGCACCTGGTTTTTTGGCAATTTGTTACCGCAACCCTAGGGTACCTCATTCACACCTAGAGGGGCCTCCATTTGAGTAATGTTCCTGGACTTTTTCCCCAGAGGGAGCAACATGACTTAAACTACAGAGTTGCAGGCCCCCCCAGTCTCCCCTAAATGGGGTCTGCCTACCTGCACCCTTTTTCTCACCTGCTCGCTTACGTGTTGTAAAGAGCCTGCCCCTATCAGGGGAGACGCATGGGTGTGAAGTTGTGCCAGCAGCTGGATGAATAAACGTGCCTTATTCAGGGTTAGTTAGCAAGATCGCTTTCCAACAGGCTGACCCACTTTACTCCAGTATCATTCATAATAACGGTGATAGTTTCATCTCTATCTGCCTGATTCTTTGGCCTCTCAGGTGGAGAAAGTAGACTGTTATTCGTTCGCTTCCTAAAGCCTTGAAATAAGTCAAAGGGGCAAGGCAGAAGCTTGAGCAGAAAATGAGCCAAGAATTTGATGGTAGGCAACATCCAGATTTAAAAAAACCGTGATACCTCACGTGGTGCCTGCCAATTGGGCATTTCAGGGATTGGCCTGTGCATTTGCTATAGGCACCTTTTCTTCAAGATACTTTACTTCCATCTACTAGAAAATGGTTATAGTAGGCTGATTGGGATAGAACCAGAGAGTTTACTTTCATCTGCCTGGAATCGCCACAATTCAGGTGCAAGCAATGCCTAAGATGAGAATGACGCCCTCCAGTGTTGTGTGGTGCCCAATCTGTCCTGTGGTCAGTAAGTGATGGTTCTTATACCATATTAGGGAAAAAGGTGATACTCATATGCCACATTTCTCTCTCCCTCGTTCAACAGAAGCAGCCCTCATGCAATTCAGCCCCTCAGAGGTCACCTACTGGATTAGGCTTGCATGTCAATGACTCGGTTTAGACTCAAGGAACCGTACTTGTTATACACTTATCTAAAAATGTCAAGTTCTGCCTGGACCAGCCTTTGACATTATCTTACTTTAGGTCTGGTACCAGACCCTTCCGCTTAGAGTCACAAAGCACCTGGCCCTGCAGCTTGTTTTTGCTATAGGACAGTCAGTCAATCCCAAACAATTCACAAATGCTCACCCAGCCCCACCATTGGTCGGCATCCTCGTATGCTCACAGCCACCTCTATGCCCCCAGCTCTGCAACAGCCTAGCACAGTGAGGGGCACATAGAAAGTGCTCAGGATGGGCGCGGTGGCTCACGCTTGTAATCCCAGAACTTTGGGAGGCCGAGACTGGCAGATCAGGAGATCGAGACCATCCTAGCTAATGCAGTGAAATCCAAAAATTAGCTGGGCGTGGTGGTGGGCACCTGTTGTTCCAGCTACTCGGGAGGCTGAGGCAGGAGAATGGTGTGAACCTGGGAGGCAGAGCTTGCAGTGAGCCGAGATCGCGCCACTGCACTCCAGCCTGGGTGACAGAGCAAGACTCTGTCTCAAAAGAAAAAGAAAAGAAAAAAGAAAAAAAAAGAAGGTGCTCAAAAAGTGCTGGATAAATGCCCTGTATGACTAGACAGCTCAGCTTCCTCCCTGAGTCAAATTTGCCTACATGGTATTTGTTCATAGATTGCCTTCATGACTTTTTCCATACCCATATTGTGCCAGCGCTATTATCTCCTTTAAATTGACTCACTTTTTGCCTCAAGTGATTTGAGTAAAAAACCTAACCTAAGGAGAAGCTCTATATTCTAAGAGAAAACAGGTGTCTTTCTACTACAGTAAAGTGTTCAGTCCAAGTACCATGGAAAACCATATCATCTATTACCTGTTGTGCACATATCACACTTTGAGTAGTGTGGGCCTAGGACTCGGGTCCACCGTGACCTAAACCGAGATCCAACAAGCTCCCTGGTGCCAGCTGAATAATGCATCTCATCCCAACCTGCATGCCTTGTCAAAGGCAGCACAGAGTGTCACACTTGTTAGCAACAGGACAAAAAGATGCTGGTGTCTAGAAGAACAAGGAGAGGCAGGACACAGGCTCACAGGATGTCAGCCCCTGTCAGAAGAAGACAGAGCCAGGCCTGTCAGCCAGAGGAACTGAATCAGAACAATTATTCAAAGTCATTTGTTTGGAGGACAAGGGAAAAGAGATTGATTTTTCTTCTTTTGCAGGAAATGCTTAGGTGAGCACAGACCCTGCTGGGTAGGCAAGCACCTGCCAGGTCGCTGACTGGAAACCCAGGTAATTCTATACTCCACATTTTCTGGATGAAGGTTCCTCTGGCATGGGCTGTCAGGGATGTCAAATGGCTCATTGAGAAAGCCTCTGCTCAGCATGCCAACAGAAGACACTGCTTTTCCACATCTACTCTGATGTCAGGGAAGAGGTGTCCCTGGGTGCTACAGCCGTGGGCATGATAGAGACCAACCAGGAGAGGCAAGGTAGGACGGTCTGCTTGGCAAAGCGGTTGAGGCTGTTCTGGGCCTGGGAGCAGGACACAAGGAAGCCACTGCCCTCTCGGCACTAGTTCTGGGTGCCTTGGGAGGACCTTAGTTCACAAAGGATACAAAAGAAAAGTAAGGAGATCAATGATTGAGCATTTACAATGTGCTGGGCACTGTGCTAGCTGCTTTAAGAATAAACATTGGATGCCCATATTCTACAGATGTTCAGAGTTAAGTCTTTATTTTTAAATAATCAGATAATATAAGCACTCATCCTACAGCTTGCTGGAAGGCCAGGGCATTTTCCAGGCATTTCTCTTTTTTTCTTTTTATTTCTTTATTTTCTTTCTTTTTTTAAACTTTTATCTTAGGTTCAGGGGTACATGTGCAGGTTTGTTATACAGGTAAACTTGTGTCATGGGGGTTTGGTGTACAGATCATTTTATCACCCAGGTACTAAGCATAGTACCCAATAGTTATTTTTTTTCTGACCTTCGCCCTCCACCCTCAACTAGGCCCCACTGTCTGTTGTTCCCCTCTATGTGTCTATGTGTTCTCATCATTTAGCTCTCACTTATAAATGATAACATGTGGTATTCTATTTTCTGTTCCTGAATTAGTTTGCTAAGGATAATGGCCTCCAGCTCCATCTATGTTCCTGCAAAAGACATAATCTTATTCTCTTTAATGGCTGCATAGTATTCTATGGTGTATATGTACCACATTTTCTTTATCCAGTCTACCATTGATGGGCATCTAGGTTGATTTCATGTCTTCACTATGGTAAATAGTGCTGCAATAAACATTTGCATGCATGAGTCTTTATGGTAGAATTTACATTCCTTTGGGTATATACCCAGTGATGGGACTGGTACATTGAATAGTAGTTCTGTTTTTAGTTCTTTGAGGAATTGCCACACTGGCATTCTGAGAATTTCCAAAGACTGCTTTATGTTTCAAAAATCTTTTTGCTGCTTGTCACCTCTCCTATTGGGCTGCTTCTCTGAGCTTAAGTCCATTCACCATGGTTGCCTTGAAATCATGTCTCTGCATTGCCACCAGCCTCTCAGGGCCACTTTGCACATTGCTATATCTATTTCTCCACCGTAGTAGAACCGAAGTTCTTCTCGAAGTCCCAATACACAGCAAACACAAGGTCTTCAGGTTGGATGTGTTTTGCCAAAGTGCAAAAACAAAATGAGGACATTACACTGTGACTGGATGTCAGGCATCATTGCTTCTAGGACACATCCACCCTGTCCCTTCCCAGGAGGTCACTCCTGTCACCAGGACCTAAAGCCACTGACCTCTAGCCATGAGGAGCTCAGCCTCACTTATCTACCCAGACAAGAATCCTCCTTTTAAAGTCCTACAATTACAATTCCAACACCTTCTCATTCTCTGGGCCTGACAAGAGGAAGCAACAAAATAAAAAACTTAACGAAAACATCTCACTAGAGATGCACCCACCTATGATGAAGATAACCTTTAAATTATTATTATTATTATTATTTATTATTATTTTTTTTTTTGAGACGGAGTCCCGCTCTTTAGCCCAGGCCGGATTGCAGTGGCACAATCTCGGCTCACTGCAAGCTCCACCTCCCAGGTTCACGCCATTCTCCTGCCTCAGCCTCCCGAGTAGCTGGGACTACAGGCGCCTGCCGCCGCGCCTGGCTAATTTTTTGTATTTTTAGTAGAGACGGGGTTTCACCGTGTTAGCCAAGATGGTCTCGATCTCCTGACCTTGTAACCTTTAAATTATTAAGTAGAGGTTTTAAATAAGTGTCCAAAGCATATGCATTTGAAACTCACCATTCATCTTTAACTCTGAGTGACTATATTTATTTATTTATTTAACAGATCCTTACATAAACACCTTCTAAGTGACAGCTACCAAATATTAGCTCATTTAATTTTTATAGTTATCTTATAAGATAGTGTCTATTTTTATGCCCATTTGACAGACAAAGACACTGAGGTACAGACAGCCTTGCCCAAAGTCATACAGACAGCTAGTGGCAGATTAAGGTTTACAGCAGGTCATTTGGCTCTGTAGTTAGTGCTCCTGACTACTAGACCATGCTGCTCTGCAGTGGTTCCCTTCTGCACAGAGGGAGGGCCAATCCCAAGGACAAACCCAAGCTTAAACGGTGAGGCCTTAGAGAAGAAATGATGTGTCCACTCTTTCCATCATTAGGGGTTCAGAAGTACCATGACTCAGACATGGAACTGCCTACCCTAGTTACATTATCTAAATTAGTCTTCAAAACAGCCCTACTAGTTTAACTCTCCATTGTTCACTCTACAAGTGGGGAAACTGAGGTACAGGAAGCAGTGAAGCTTAGATTTGACCCCAAACCTGTCTTTTAAAAATATGCTCTTTCCACTACACAGAACATTGTATCTACAGGATGCTACCAAAGATCATTTTAAAATTTGCTTTATTTCAAGTCTCTATCTGCAGTTCTAAGAACTGAAGCTTTTAGAAGAAATAAAGCTGGATCTAAAAGAAAAAGTTTCCACAATGCTTAGCTGCACAAGTAGTGTGCTTGGAGCTATGTATGGGGAAAAAAGGACAATTTGTCATGGTTCTAATTAAAAATGTAAACCTTTGGGCTAGGCACATTCCTATGCAGCTTACTTAATGTAATTCTTGCCTGTAGGTTTTCTTGTTCATCCATCATCTATTTGCTCATAGTCAGCAAGGATCTATTTTAAATGCATTCTTCTTCCCCAAAGATAATGATGATGATGACTGTAGTAATGGTAATAATGTCAACATATTTCTATTCATTCATTCAACATATATTTATTTAAGTGCTCACTTAAATAAGCATGAGGCTGTAGCATTAGAATGCCCAGATTTGAATACTGGCTCTACCACTTGTGTGACCACAAGCAAGTTATTTATTCTCTCTGTGCTTCAGTTCTTTGTTGTAAAGATAAAATGGAATTATACATCTGAAGTATTTAGAGCACTGCCTGGCACATAGGTAAGAGCTCAATGAATGTTCTTTGTTATTATTTGCCAACCATAACAATGGGTAGCAGTGACACAGATAAATGCAGCATAGCTGCAATTCAAATTAAATCATTATAATGAAAACGGAAGTGCATCCTTACACTGACTGCTACATTGTTAGGCAAACATTACATGGGAATACCCAGCACAACTATTCTGCTTCTTGACTAGTGTCTCAAAATCAGAGTGGTGCTATGGAAGCTACCCTTAAGTGAACCCTGCAAACTCTTTCAAACATTGGTTCTATCTGAAAACTAAAGATCCATGATATTGGGTGAAGGCAACCTCTAACAACTTGGCAGGCTGAGCTGATGTTGCAGGACTTCCTTAGTACCATAAATATTGGTCAAAGTCAGGAAAAATGTAATACACAGTCCTTTAATTAAATACATCTTTCTCTGCAATACCAGCTTTGCTCCTGGCCTTTATGCTGAGCTCAAAGGAAAGAAAAAAATACTTAAGGGATAAAAACAAAATGGAAAATTAAGGCAAGAGTGTTAAGTAAGAGACAATGTTGCACTGATTCACAGGGGTCTTATCAATCAGTGGCTGGGAATTTTACAACCACACAGTAGGTAGGAGATTTGGCCTGGGGAGGTGAGAGGGTGGAGAGATAGACAAAGGGGTAGGTGGAGAAAGAAAGAGAGAGAAAGAGAAAGGAAACAAGTTGTAACACAGACCCTTGCATAAGGCTGGGAACCTTGAAATGCCATTCCATCTATGAAAAGGAGATAATATTTAATTATCCAGCTCAAGGAAGTTTGTATCTAACTGTAAGTGAGAAAATAAAGTTACCATAAGAAATGGAAATGCCAAGCCTGAAGCATGTGTTGTAGGTGATCTAAATTCATTCACATTATTGCCATAATTTTTAAAAGTCCAAATAAGAAATAAAGACAAAATCTGTTTTGAAATTAGTGTGACCACAAGGATCTTATCAGCTACAAATTCAAAACCACTATGTAAGGATAGTTCCAAGACACATGGCCCTCCTACAAAAGAAACACCATCCAAATATTAGTTTCCACTTAAGATTATAAACTAACATAATAAATTATAATGAAGGAAATTCAACAAGTAATAATGAGGAAAATTAGCATCTCACAAACTAGAAAAAATTATTTATATGTGTGTGTGTATATATATGTATATAATTAGAGACAAAAAGACAAAACAGAAATTATAAAGGGAGTATGAAAAAATAATATGAATATTTTAAAAATAAATAATACTTTGAGGAATAAAAGATAGTCACTAAAATTGTAAACAGTATGGTAGATGTAAATAGATTAGATACAGCCGAAAAGAGACTCAGTAAACTGGAAGATAAACATAAGGAAATAAAGTAGAATTTAGAGCTTGTCACAGAAATTATGAGATATTTGAAAATAATAACATAAGAAGGTGCAAGGACATATCTTACAGGATGTTCAGAAAAGGAAAATTAGAAGATTCTAGTAGGAGGAAATAGAAAGATGGAGAGTAGGCAATATTTGGCGAGACAATGGCCAATAATTTTTCTGAGTGGAAAAAAGATGAAAAGGTACATTGAGTCCTGAGAAGAATAAATTAAAAACCAATCCATATCTTAACACATCATGGTAAAACTTCTGAACAATAAAGACAAAAGTAAAACCTTAAAAGCAAGGAGAGGGGGAAAAATATCCTACAAAATAATTAGAATTAGATTGACAGCAGAGTCTCATAAAAAACAATTGAATTCAGAGAACTATGGAGTGACATTTTCAAACATTTTCAAAGTTCTTTTTTTTTTTTTTTTTTTTTTTTTTGAGACAGAGTTTTGCTCGGTCACCAGGCTGGAGTACAGTGGTGCGATCTTTGCTCACTGCAACCTCCACCTTCCAGGTTCAAGCAATTCTTCTGCCTCAGCCTCCCTAGTAGCTGGGACTACAGGAGTGCACCACCACGCCCAGCTAATTTTTGTATTTTTTTAGTAGAGATGGAGTTTCACCATGTTGGCCAGGATGGTCTCGATCTCTTGACCTCGTAATCTCGTAATCCACCCACCTCAGCCTCCCAAAGTGCTGTGATTACAGGTGTGAGCCACCATGCCTGGCCTCAAAGTTCTCATGTAAAATAACTGCCACACTGAAATTTTGTGCCAGCTCTCTTATATTGAAGAGCAGTGGTGAGACATTGCTTTGGTGAGATTCCTAGAGTGATTATTTCTAAGTCTTGCCCTCACAGAGCAGGAGATTAGAAGGACCCTGAAAATCAGAGAAAAAAACAGTATTTATAAACCTAGAATTTGCATAAAGAAAACAAACATGTCTTTTTCTCCCAAGAAAAAGAAAGGAAGCCCAAAGCAAATAAGTTTGAGCTGATTTTAGGTTCTTAATCTATTCCAACTTCTGAGAGAAAATCCCTTCTCAGAGATAGGTGGGGCTCATTTTATGGGTGGGTTATTGGACTGGCCCATGGGGCCTTAATGGTGGACACACAGTTTGTCTGCACTGGTCAGAAGAATTTTGAAATTGTCATAGATCTCAAAGAGCTTATAAATAGCTTACTAAAGGAAATAGGTAAGTTCATAATAATTATAAAGCATGTGTGTGCTCAAAAAGAGACCATTCAGACCATCCATAGACACCTCTATGACCATCAAGAGAGTAGGTGTCCAACTCCTTGTCATCTATAGTTCAGACTTAGATTGACATTCTAGGCCTTTCGCCATCGTGTCCTATTGTAACTTTTCCAATATAATCTTTCAATTGTCCCAGAATTAACCCTCTCCTTCTCAAATGGACTCTTCTTTAACCTTTAAAAAAGTCACATTTTAATAACTATGAATTAAATAAATATTGGTAAATATTGGTTGTTTGTTGGTTGATTTGTTGACTGTTTTAATAAACAAAAACAGTTCTTATGTTCTTATATCTTGGCATCTAATCTGTGCTAAACCACTGTTGACAAATTATACCACAAGACTGTACATTAAAAAGTGTAAATCTTCTCTATCAATCATGCAAGCCACGTGCCCTCAACTCTGGGTTGTGACAACTTTCACGGTATAGTACAGAACAGGAGTTTAGACAGAAGCTTTGGAGTCAGGTTCCTGAGTTGTAATTCTGATTCTCCAACTAGCTCTGTAACCAGGGGTAAGATATTTGATTCCTTTGTACTTCAATACCTAACTATAGAAATAAAATTATGACACATTTCATAGGGCACTTGAAAGAATTTAATGAAGCAATATGTGTAAAATTGAAATGTGTTTGATACATAGCACATGCTCAATACAAGTTAGCATAGGGTGCCATTATTTTTATTAGTATTTAAATCACACAAAGAAGGAAGAAACATCTGCTATTCAATTTATATGTTATTGCAGGTGAAGAGAAGGCATTTAAATGAAGATTTGGAGGGGACCATAAAACTTTTCCAATTTTCTATAATTCTACACTGACTCTCAAAATGTTGAGAAACTACGAAGACTAATCCAGGTCTTTTGATTCTCCGTCTATCACTCACTCCATTAATTCCACCGCTTGTACAATCCAAGTCTCCTGGCTCCTCTCTAGCACTTTCATCACTTTACTTTTGCTATTACAACTACAACTACTATTAGTACTTATATTACAACTATTGCTATTACTACTATTACTACAACCATCATTAATTCTGCTGTTGTGCTCTCCTCTCTACTAGAAACCATTTATGATGCATAACTTTTGCCAGACACCTTAAAGGTATTATTTCTAATCATCACAACAATCTGGAAAGAATTGTATGTATGTCCCCATTTTACAGATGAGGAAATTGTTAACTCACTTGCTAACCATTCACAGCCAGTTAGCAGAGGGGTCAGGATTCCAAACTAGGTCCCTCTGCTTCCCAAGACCATGCATTTTCACTTTACCAGTCTGCCTCTCTGCCTAAAAGTTATTTGAACACAATAGAGCCGATTTTCACCAAAGTCTTACAGCTGTTTCTCTCAGCCTGCAAAACAGATTGCTCCCAGTTGCTAAGCCTAAAGATCTGTGCCAATTTGTCAAAACGCCCATGGCGTTTTAATGATTTAGAAAAGCACAGGCCAATGGCTTTTTCTACGCACAGCAGATGCCTCTGTTCCAAGAACTATAACAGCATCAAAGTGAAGTGCACCCACTGATTTGCAATTTTTCCTGCAAGTGACAAGTCCATGGATGTGGACTTGCTGGGAGGTGGGGGGAACCAATGGCAAGGATGAGTTCTGTCATGCTCATCCGCCAGGAGAAAGGGAGCAAAATATGACCAAGATAAAACTACCTCAGGGTGGGAATCTGGCAGAGGATGGACTAAAGATTAGCTTAAAATAAGTATTTTCTTCCTTCTGGTATTTGGAAAGCCTTGACCCTTTAGCTTTCTTATTTTGGCTTTTGCCTTCCAGCTCCTGGCCTGATTATTTTGATAAAGTGCATCCCTAAATGATGGTCTCACTGGAGTCTAGTTGACAGAAATGCAAAGCAGTAAAGAGAAGAAAGCTGGGCAGCATGGAAGCTGCAGATAAATGAGGCCTATTCTCAAGGCAGGGTGAAAAATGGGGGAGTAACGGCAGCCATTTTGCAAGGTGCTTGACTTATGGACTCATAAGTCCTTTAGAATCTGGAGTTAGTGCTTCAAAATGATGGAGAAAAATGAGAAAATGACTGCACACCAAATATAACCCATGTTTCTGGGGGCAGGGAGCAGGAGCCTGTGCTTATGCCTCTTGTGGCATTTCTGTGCCCCATTCATCATCTGGCCTGGGGGATTCCCGAACCCTGGAAAACTCTGAAAAGCTTCAAAGGTTGAATGTGCTTTGAATTCTGAATTATTTGAACTCATTCAAATTCTCATTTTTCCAAGGGCTGCTAAACCTCGTCAGGAGCTTGTTTTCTAAAGCAGGTACAGACATCTGAGCATGCAAGGTAGCAAGGAGAAATTTCGAGTAGACTCTGGGGAGAGAGAGAACAGAATGAGTGTGGAGGAGAGGTAACTTCCGGGTATAGGAAGTTGTCTAAGTCAGGTTGTTAGCAGCCTAGGTGGTGGTGGTGTTAGTGATGATGATGATGATGATGATAATGATGATGACAATGATGATGATACAATAATAGCAGGTACCACTAGTAAAGCATTTACTTTATGCCAAGCCTGTGCTAAGAACCTTTATATGTGACATGTGTCCTATGTCTACAGGTGTCATATGTTTCCTCCTTCCTCTTGTCCTCTCTCTAGCTTTCACCCCATTCCTTCTTTACTTGGCCTCCTTCCTTCCTTGTTTTTAGTCTAGGATCGAAAAGTCTAGGCTGTGGGGGGCCTCAGACCATGGAGAATGCATGATCAAGTTTCCTGGGATAGAGGTATGGTTGGGCAGATGAGAAAAGAGTTCCCAGACAAGGGATGGGGGAGAGGGAACACCTAGCTTCAATGTTGGTGAAAGTCCCTAAGAAAAGGGCCTTGTAGTTTGAGACCCTGGAGATAATTTTCTTTGCATTTTAAGGCTGCCATAACAAAGTACCACAGACTGGTAACCAATGGAAATTTATACATATCCTCATGATTCTGGAGGCCAGAAGTCCAAGATCAAGGTGTTGACAAGATGATCTCTCTCCTTGACTTGTAGATAGTGTTTTCTCTCTGCATCCATCTTCAATTGGTTCTTCCTGCCATTCAGATTGGCGTGCCTGTGTTATACTAATTGTGAAATATTTTGAACACATCTTGCCCATCTTGCCCTATACTTCTGTATTACACTGCCTCCCATGGACCAAAATGTCCTACCAAATGCCTTCACCCTAGGAAATGCATTGCATCATTCAAGATAGGCTGCAGTAACAGCCTTCATATCCAGCAAATTAATCTACAAAAGTCTTGCTCATGTTACATATCCAGCATGTGTCAACAAGGAGTCTCTGCTCATCCATATCACTCAGGGTCCTAGCAAATGAAGCCTTCATCTCACCATGTGCTTGCACAGTGAAAATGCTTGCAGAATGAGACAATGGTATATTAAACACTGACTGTCAATGCTCCTTCAAGGAAGTGACATATATCATGCCCACTTACATTTCATTGGCCAATGTGAATCACATTGGCATATGCCTATCTTCAAAGGGAACAATCCTACCTGTCATGTGTCTGGAAGGAAGGAACAATCCTACCTGTCATGTGTTTGGTGATGAGCATTAATGACTGCCCCACATACCTAGCACTTAGTGACAAGAAAAAAGAACCTGAGAATCCTAACTGTTTTGAGATTATGTTTCTGACACAGTGGATTTATAATAAAAAAGCAAGTTTTTTTTTGTTTCTTTGTTTTGTTTTGTTTTGTTTTTTGAGACAGAGTTTTGCTCTTGCTGCCCAGGCTGGAGTGTAGTGGTGCTATCTCGTCTCACTGCAGCCTCCACCTCCCAGGTTCAAGCAATTCTCCTGCCTCAGCCTCCTGAGTAGCTGGGATCACAGGCATGAGCCACCATGCCCAGCTAATTTTGTATTTTTAGTAGAGGCAGGTTTTCTCCATGTTGGCCAGGCTGGTCTTGAACTCCCCACCTCATGTGATCTGCCTGCCTTGGCCTCCCAAAGTGCTGGGATTACAGGTGTGAGCCACCACACCCTAAATAAGCAAGTTCTAATAATATTAATTGTATTTTTTAAAAATCTGAGTTCCCCAACTGGAATGTGTTGGGGAATGCTACACATAAATTATTTCATCAAATAATTACAAAAGCACTTTGAGATGAATATTTTGATTCTCCAGACAACAAAACTGAGCTATGAGAAATTAAATAACTTGCATGAGGACTCAAATAAATGGTACAGCTAAGATTTGGACCCCAGTCTACCTGACTCCCTTCTAACTTGAAAACACATATTCTCATTTGTTTATTCATTCAACATTTCTTTATTGAGAATCAACTATGTGTTCAACACTGTTAGGAAGTTGACAATAGTGCAGTAAGCAAGAGAGACAAGGTTTCTCCTGCATGCAGGTTAAATTTTAAGGGAAAGAGTAGGAAATCTGGAATAAAAACCAAGTAGACAAATACATAAAGAAGAGAGTTTCAGATATCAATAAGTTCTATAATGAAAATAACATGGGGTTATACATTCGAGTGGTTATTTTGAGGAGGTAATATTTGCCCTCAGACCTGCATGTTAAGGAGCTGTCCATGTGAATGCTTGAGGGAAAAGTCATTTGGACAAAAGGAAGAGTTAGTTCCAAGGCCCCGAGTTTGGGACAAGCTTGGTGCACGTAACAAACAAACGGATCTCTCATGTAGTTGCAAATGTTGGCTGAGGCTGTAGTCACATGAAAGCTTCATTAGACTGAATGTCAAAGGTGGTTCAGGCATATGGTTGGCAAGTGATGGTAGCTGTTATCTAGGAGCTTAACTGAAGCTCCATCTGAACACCTTCCCCTACGTGTAGCCTCTCCGGGTGGCATGGACTTCTCATAGCAGGATGGCTTGGTTCCAAGAGGAGATGTCCAAGACTAAACATCCCAGGAGGCGAAAAGCAAAAACTAGCTTGAAACTGGCACAGAATCTCTCCTACAGTATTCTAGTGGTCAAAGCAATCACAAGACCTGCTCAGATTCAAAGGAGTTATACTGGGTAGAAAATGTCCTCTAAAATTTATATTTGCCCAGAATGTTGGGATATGGCTTTATTTTATAGGTTCTTTGCAGTTATAATTAAGATGAGATCATACTGGATTAGAGTGGGGCCTAAATCCAATGACTGGTATTCTTATAAGAGGAGATATTCAGACAAAGAGAGATGCAGGGAAGAAAGCCATGTGATGATGGAGGCAGAGACGAGTGATGCAACTTTAAGTCGAGGAACACCAAGGGTTGCCAGCAACCACCACAGCTGGAGAGAGGCATGGAACAGATCCCCCTTTAGATCCCCCAAAAGGAACCAACTCTGCTGACACCTTGACTTTGAACTTCTGACCTCCAGAACTGTGAGAGCACAAATTTCCATTGTTTTGAGCCTCCCAGTTTGCATGACAGCCCTAGGAAACGAATACATGAGTGGAGAAACACCCCAGCTGAGTGTGCTAAGGTTGCATTACAGAAGAATAAAACAATGATGAGAGATAGTGGTGCCATCTTTGGAAAAGACAATCTGCTACAACTGTTTATATCCAAAAGCAATAATAGACTCAGTAGTTGTCAGCTTGGTTTCATTTTTCTTTGGAAATTCATATGTTCTGTTTCTGTTCATGACTGTGTGTATGTGTTCCTTGTGATAAGTCTCCCAAAATCTTCTTTGGGAAGTGCTGGAACATGAGCAAACCAACATTTTCCCCTGGGTTAGTATTACAGCTTACACCTCAACCTGCAAGTTTCATGATTTTTTCCGCCAGACTGAATTTCAAACACTTTCTCAGCAGGATGTAAACATTGAACTCAAGCTTTGACAATTTCTGAGCTCCTGCTGTGGCTGAGATCAAGGAATCATAATTAATCATGAAGGTGTTGGTGGATGCTGCTGCTCCTCTCCATGCTCCTTCCCACAAAGCATTAGGGCCAGTCTAGCCCAAACCTACCAGGAGACCACAGGAATTGAGTAGATGTGGCAGCTACCTCAGGGTCTGAAAAGTTGGAATCTGTCCCAATCATGGGAAAGAGAGACTTAAGTAAGCGTCCTGGGCCTTCTGAACATGCCTGTATAGGTTAGGAGATTTAAGTTATGAAGCCTAAAGACCATTGAATCGCTGGCATCTCATTGTCAAGTAAGACAGTGGATGTGGACAAGCTTTGAAATGTAACAAATATAAGAGAGTAGAGATCATCAGCGTGGTTAGAATTGGACCATAATGGTGTTTTAGTCCAACTCTTACCAAATCCTTCCACTATATCCCTCTGGAGATTATGCAGCTTGGTCTGAATTTCTTCACTGACAGGGAGATCACTGCCATATGAACATATTAAGGATCCAGCCATCAATGGTGAGGAAACTTGCTATCCGTCCAGACAATTTATTAGCAAAATATCATGACTTTGCCGTGCATAAGTGTAAGAATTAAACATGCATGGTATATTTAAACCATGATAAGCTTAAACATGCATGGTAAGAAACACAAGTTGAGAAAGGAAATGTAAAATTAGTCCAAGATAATTGAACTCTGTGGTTTCCTGGTTCTGTCCTCTTAACCTAAAACCAAAACCAAAAAGACATGCAAATCCTGCTAAAGTTGACTTTACTAGGAAAAAAAAGAATATTTAAGGAAATGAATGTTTATGAGCTCATGTAATAAGAAGAATTACTCCCCCTGAAAAAAAAAACCTGCAACTAATACATTAAATCTAAAAGAACTATAAGTATATTTAAAATGAACAAAGTAATAAGAAATAGAAATACTGTAACTGGCAAAAGGGTCTGGCTGCTCACCACTTGTGGAAAAAAGTCAAAAATAATAACGAGTTGTGATAAAAGGGAGTGAGATTTCATTATCCATGCTAGCAGGGGAAGAGCAGAAAGCAATTCCACTCTTCAGGCAGGTGTGGGTTCCATCCTTGAAGTAGTCTTTTGTTGGAAAGAGATATCCAGAGGTGCCTGGCCCCATCAAGATCCGACTCCTGAAGCTTCTAAGGAAATATATGACCAGATGAGATAGCATGGTCCATGCTTAACAAGCACTTAGGTAAATAAATGTGCATAACGCACGGGAGTACAGTATGGTAAAGGAAAGGGAGTGGAGGCTGACATCACATTCAGAGGCTGTATTTTAAGATGAAAGGTAACATATATGTAGTTTGTCTCAAAGTTATATCTTGAGACCAGGATGGGGACGAGGAAAGGGGACAGAAGAAAAAGGTTTCAAATGCAGTTTGAGGCTCAGCTGCTAAGCTGCTGGTTACAATAATAATAAATTGGAAACAACAACCAAAAAAGCTGTTTAGAGTTTTTAAAGGAGCACAAATATAACTTCAATTAATTAAAAACTCAGCAGTTAGGTTAAAATCAAATTAGATGCAGCTAGAAAGAGAATGAGTAAACCAGGAAAATTAGCCAGAATGCAACAAAAAGAGATAAAGGGAAAATATAAAATAGAAGTTAGAGACATAGAGGATAAAATAGAGTGTCTGGAATATATCTTGATCCTGTAAGTGGCTAGCCAGAGAACCTCAAAAACTGACATAATTGCAAAGAAAAAGTAATATATCTATAATCATAGGGCGTGATTTGACAATATCTGTCCTAGGAACTGATATATTTAGTATACCAAATATTAGTGGGAATTAGAACATTTAAACAATCTCATGAGCAAACTTGAGCTAATGGACAAAATAGAGAAATTTACCACCAAAGAAAATGCATTTGCTTTCTGGCTTATGTGAAATTATTGAAAAAATTGACCACAGAATAGCCCATAAGTAAAATCTCAGCAAGTACCAAAGAATAAATATTTTACAGTGCCATAAAATTAGAAATCAATAACAAGAATATAAAGCCACACTCACTTGGTAACTGAAAATACACATCTTTATCATTCATAGTTTGAAGGAAAAATTACAATGGAATTAGCAAACATTAAGCATCGTATAACAATGAAACCAGTACATACAGAACCCTTTGTGACATTACTGAAGTAGTGGTTCCTGGAAAATGTATAGCCTTAAATTCATATATTGAGAAATAAGGAACACTGAAAATAATTTAGGAAGTGGTTACATTTAAGAAGATCAAAGAGAAATAACAGATTAAATCCAAAAGGAATAGAATGGAAGCAATAATAAAAGTAAGAGTCAAAATTAATAAAATAGAAAAAAAATAAGATCAAATCAAAGTTATCTTCAAAAAACAAATAAATTAAAACTTTGGCAAGATTAATCGCAAAAAGGAGAGAGAAGGCAAAAATTAACCTTATTAGGAATGTAAAAAAAAAAAAACCTCAACAGACCTGCATATTTTATAAACCATAATAGAATACTATGCTAAACATTATTGTTTCTCTGTTCATGCTGGAATTTAAGGGGATGGGTACATACCTAGTGAAATTGCTGCATCAAAGGGTATATACACAGTCTACTTAAATACATATTGCCAACTTCTTTCCAAAGCAATTAGTGTAATTTACAGTCCTACCAGGAAGATAGTGCCCACTTACACACAGGCTGGCCAGCATTTAGTATCAACAGATTTTTGTTGTTGTTGTTTGAAACCAAACGGGTGTGAAATGGTATATCACAATGGTTTTAATTGCACTTTCCTGGTTATTAAGCTGACAATACTTCCATATGTTTCCTCTGTGAATTATCTTTTCACATCTTTTGTACGCCTTACTATTTCTTTTTTTCTTTTCTTTTTTTTTTTTTTTTTTTTTGAGACAGAGTCTCACTCTGTCACCCAGGCTGGAGTGCAGTGGCGCGATCTCGGCTCACTGCAACCTCCACCTCCCAGGTTCAAGTGATTCTCCTGCCTCGGCCTCCCGAGTAGCTGGGACTACAGGTGCATGACACCGCACCTGGCTAGTTTTTGTATTTTTAGTAGAGACAGGGTTTCACTATGTTGGCCAGGTTGGTCTCGAACTCCTGACCTTGTGATCCGCCCACCTCGGCCTCCCAAAGTGCTGGGATTACAGAGTGAGCCACTGCGCCTGGCCTGCACCCCTTACTATTATATGCTTTGCATTTTCTTTTAGATTTGAAGAACCTCATTATAAACTCTAGCACTAATCTTATGTCAGTTAAATGCATAGCAAATATCTCCTGACGTGGGAGAATATATATTTGCAAGTCTTCTTGTGAACATATGTTTTCAGTTCTAGGGAGCCAGACGCCTATGAGTGAAAAGCCTAGTCATCGTGGAGAAGTGCATTCAACTTTGTAAGAAACTGCCAAACCTTTATTCATAATGGTTGTATAAATTTTACATTACCACCAATAATGTATGAGAGTTCCAGTTGCTTCACATCCTCACCAGCATTTTGTTTTGTCTGTCTTTTTTCCTTTGGTTATTCTAGTGGGCATAAGATATAATAGTATCCCTTGTGGTTTAATGTAAATTCCACTGAAGACTAATAACATTTGCATATTTCTAATTAATAAGCCTTTTTAAGTGACTTTTCAAGTCTTTGCTCATTTTTATTAGATATTTGCCTTCTTATTATTGATTTGAAAGAATTATATTTATATGCTTATATTCTGGTTATAAGCCCTTTGTCATTATTTTCCAAAACAATATTTGGTTGTTTCTGTACTACTTTCCTTGCTCCTTTGAATTGACTTGGTGCCTTGGCCAAAAATCAATTGACCACATACATGTGGGTGCATCTCCAGACTACCACATTCCGTTTATCTATTTGTCTCTCCTTGTGTCAATAACACTCTGTCTTGATAATGGTAAGTTTTGAGATCAGGTTGTGTAAGTCCTCCTAATTTTTCCTGGGTTTTCAATATTGCTTTGCTTTTTAAAAATTTTGTATTTTCATTTACATTTTAAAATAAACTTGTTAGTGGGATTTTGATTGGCATTGCACTGAACTCGTGGATCAATTTGGGGAGATTGGACATTCTTATATATGGATCCCGTGGTCATCAACTTTAAGAACTCTTTCTCATCCATTAGTAACTCAATCTAGGTTCAGATGCTACTCGTTTTCTGCTCAGTCTGTGTCTGAGCCCCTTATGCTCTTCATTTTGTCATCCAATTAACCTCAGCTTTGCATCAATACTATTTCTTGCTTTGGTGCCTGTTACCTCTCCTCTAATCACCAATCCACAACTTACCTCCAAATTCAGGGCTTGTCTCATTCTTCCCAGGAGGAGTGCTGCTCAGTCTATCTACTTAGTATTATAATTTCTCTGGCTTGGTATCAAGGCACTCCCATTTCCGGCTTCCATGAGATGTCTCAGAGGGCATGCTGCCCGGTGTAGCTGCATGGTCAAGCTTCTTCATATCTCTTGCCTCATCACTTAAACTCACTATTTTGTACTCCTGCTTCAGCTATAGGGAGCTACTGTTAGTTTCTTGAAGACATATGCTCTCTCTCTCTCTCACATCTGGACCTGAGCACATCCTGTTACTGCTGCTTGAAACAATGTGATCCCCAGGCACACACCATTAGCTTAGAAGCCTCCCCTGATTCTTCAAGGCTGGTTGAGTCCCTTCTCTGTGCTCTCATGACAACAGTTGGCAATTCCTCGTTGCAGCACCTAGCCCATGATGCTCTTTGGAGGCAGAGACTGAGTCTTTCTCACTATTGAATTTCCAGCATTCATCACAGAGCCTGGCATATATAAAGCCCTCCATCATATGTATTAAGTGAATGGATAAATGAAAAAAAGTTATATATATGTACATATATGTGTATATATGTATATGTATATATGTGTATATATGTGTGTATATGTGTGTGTATATATGTACATATATATGTATCTATGTACATATATGTATATATGTATATATATGTGTGTGTATATGTGTGTGTGTATGTATATATATTACAATGAAATACTATTCAGCCTTAAAAAGGCAGGGAATCCTGTCATTTAACACAATATGGATAAACCTAGAGGACTCTAAAGGCAAATACCACATGTTCTCACTCACAAAATCTAAACAAGTTGAACTCCTACAAGTAGAGAGTAGGATGATGGTTACCAAGGGCTGGGGGACGGGAGAGGATGGGGAAAGCATAGCTGTCCATCAAAGGGTAGAAAGTTTCATTTAGACAAGAGGAATCAGCTTTAGTGATCTATTTCACAGAATGGTGACTATAATTAATAATGCATTACATAATTCAAAATTGCTAAAAGTAGATCTTAAATGTTTTCACCATAGAAAAATAAGTATGTGAGGTAGTGAATATGTTGACTAGCCTGATTTAATCATTTCACATTGTAAACATATATCAAAACATCACATTGTGCCCAATAAATATATTTAAAATATTATTTTTTCAATTAAAAATAAAATTTTAAAGATAAAGAATGAATAGTAAGTAGACTGTCAGTATGTTCATAGAATACTCTTAGCAGGTGGGAACCCTGAATCACTAATGACCTCAGGGCAGTTATGTACCTCTGGTGGAGAGAGGTGATTCATTCTGCTCCCAGAACTTGTTAAAAATATCCCTTAACCAAATTCAATTTATATGCACCTATCAATCTTCTAGTCTTAATGCACTTCCCCAAGTAGATTTCTTAAACTAGAACAGAAATGTGTTGGCTGAGTGACACATTCTCAGTCTATTGCTAGATAGACTGAGAATTGCACACTGTTAGGTGATTATGTTGGCTCTGTACTTTTTAAAGCTATTTTATACAATTTTGGTTCATATGGACACGATCTCAGCACTCCTGCTGGGAACTAACAGAACTAAGCTTTTCTTTCCGTTTTTTTCATATATATGTTATCCAAGGAGGACAATTTTTATTTATGTTTTTCTCACAGGGTCTTGAGGGTGCTCAATTAACATAGTTGAGTTGAGCAGTTAGTGAAAGTGAGAACTAAACTCTAGGGACATGTATGAGTTTGCTAGGGCTGCTGTAACAAAGTACCACAACTGGTGGCATATCAACAGAAAAGTATTGTCTCACAGTTCTGGAGCCTCGAAGTCTGAGATGTCACATAGGTTTGGTTCCATTTGAAGACTGTGAAGAACAGCCTGCCCCATGTTTCTACACCAGCTTCTGGTGGTTTGCTGGCAATCTTTGACATTTTTGCCTAGTACAAGCATCACCTCCATCTCTGCCTTCCTCTCCACATGGCATTTTCCCTGTGTGTGTCTCTATTTGTCTGAATTTCCCCTTTCTATAAGGACATCAGTCACATTGGATTGAGTGCTCACCTTTCTCCAGGATGACCTCATCTAAACTCATCTAATTCCATCTACAATGACTCCATTTACAAATAGTCACATTCTGAGGTAGCAAGGGTTAGGACTTCAGCATATGAATTTGCATGGGGGGCAGTAGAGCTAATTCAACCCATAACAAGACAGAATTAACAATAACCATTGAAAACTTTAAATAAAGCTTTATATCAAAACATACTTTTAAGTAAAACTTTATTTAGATATAATTTATGTATATTTTAAGTGTACAGTTTGATGCGTTTTGACACATGTACACATCTATTTAACTTCTACCACTATCAAGATATAAAACATTTTTTATCACCTCAGAAAGTTCCTTTGCTTCTCTTTTTAATCAATATTCCCCAACCCAATCACCATTCTGACAACCACTTATTTGATTTCTGTCACCAATGATTAGTTTTGTCTATTCTAGAACATCAAATATTCCTTGGAATTATATACTTTGTAGTCTTTAATGTCAGGCAATTTTTCTGTAAATGTAATGCCTGTGAGAGTCATCCATTTTATGTGTATCAGTAATTTTTTCCTTTTATTGCTGAGTAGAATTTCACTTCATAAATATACCAACATTTCTCTATCCGTTCATTTGTTGTTGGACAGTTGGGTTGTTTCCAGTTTCAGGCTTTCCTGAACAGGCCTTCTATGAGCATTCATGTGCTAATATTTTTTTGTGGGCATATGTTCTTATTTCTTTTGGATAAATATTTAGACATGAAAGTGTTGAGTCATGCATAAAGAGTTTTCAGGTCACCTTTTTTTATTCTGAAAGTAGTAAAATCAGCCAAGCATTCATTGGCGTTAGGGACTTACCCATGGAGCCCATTCTCAATAAAAGTCCTGAAACCCACTCCAGGCAAAAGTGTAGGTATCATCATTCCAATAGTAAATAATGTGGTCATTTCACTTTGTGTGGTGGTTTACAGTTTTTTGTTTTGTTTTGTTTTGTTTTGAGGCGGAGTCTTGCTCTGTCGCCCAGGCTGGAGTGCAGTGGCGCGATCTCGGCTCACTGTAAGCTCCGCCTCCTGGGTTCATGCCATTCTCCTGCCTCAGCCTCCCAAATAGCTGGGATTACAGGCACCCGCCACCAAGCCCAGCTAATTTTTTTTTTTTTGTATTTTTAGTAGAGACGGGGCTTCACCATGTTAACCAGGATGGTCTCGATCTCCTGACCTCGTGATCCGCCCACTTCGGCCTCCCAAAGTGCTGGGATTACAGACATGAGCCACCGCGCCCGGCCTATAGTTTTTAAAGTCTTTTCATATTCACTGTCTAGTTCAATTATTGTCACAAATTCTAATAAGCTAAGCAAAGATGACCATCCCCATTGTGCAGATGAGGAAACTGAGTCTCAAAAAGGCTAAGCAACTTTTTAGAAGAGAGCTGAAACATGAATCCAAGCCTCTGACTTTTTATGCTCCCTGAACTCCATTCTTTAGCCCCATTTTATCCAAAATTCAGCTTGTTTGGATCAAAGTGGAAGGGAGTCCCTGGAAGAAGCACTTTGCAGGACAACCTAAGCCCCTTTGAACATGAGCACCAGATATGCTTTTAGGGTCTTCAAAGAAAAGATATACATTAGTCTCTGTAGGCAGTTAGAAATCAACTATGCCATCTGTCATCATCTTGACCTGCTACAGCTAAGGATCTTCAACTGATGGCGTAAATCATCGTGTCTAAAATCTGATCCATTCATGAAATAATTACAAGAAAGGATGTTGAAGTGGCGGAGCTCTTAGTGATCACCAGGATGCTTCTAATCATGGAGTGTACGTAAGGAGGGGGAGGGGAAGTGGATAACAACTCCAACAACTTGAACAGTGGCAAAAACAACAGCCCCTGCCCTCAAAATGCCCCACCAAGTCTTCATACAAGTGGACTTTAAAAAGTTTGTGGAAAAATAAAATTAAAAGATAAAAATAAAAAATATAAATTTTATTTCTCAACATAAGCTCCATCAAGTTCAAGACACTTGTGTAAGCAATGAAACCAGCCATTTAGTCCATCCCTGGAGAACTGAGGGTCCTGGGAATTTAACTTGTCAATGCCATCTTTTCTCATTATTAACTAAACTGAATGCCCTTTAAAGATTTTTTAAGATTAGGAAACAAAAAGAAGTCAGAAGGAGCCAAATCAGGACAGCAAGGTGGTTGTCTAATGATTTCTCATTGAAACCCTTGCAAAATTGCCCTTGTTTAATGAGAGGAATGGGCAAGAGCACTGTTGTGTTGGAGAATGACTCTCTCGTGGAGCTTTCCTGGGTGTTTTTCTGCTAGAGTTTTGGCTTTTTCAAAACACTCCCATAATAAGCAGATATGATCACACTGTCGTCCTCCAAAATTCAACAAGCAAAGTGCCTTGAGCATCCCAAAAAACTGTTGCCAAGATATTTGCTCTTGAATGATCTGCTTTTGCTTTGACTGGACCATTTCTACCTCTTGGTAGCCATTAGTTTGATTGTGCTTTGTCTTCAGGATTGTACTGGTGAAGCCATGTTTCATCTCCTTACAGTTTAAAAAAATGCCTCAGGATCTTGATGCTATTTCAAACGTCTTTTGAAAGCTCTGCTCTTGGCCGGGCATGGTGGCCCATGCCTGTAATCCCAGCACTTTGGGAGGCTGAGGTGCACAGATCACCTGAGGTCTGGAGTTCGAGACCAGTCTGGCCAATGTGGCAAAACCCTGTCTCCATCAAAAATACAAAAATTAGCCAGGCGTGGTGGTGCATGCCTGTAGTCCCAGCTATTTGGGAGGCTGAGGCAGGAGAATCACTTGAACCTGGGAGGCGGAGGTTGCAGTGAGCTGAGATTGCGCCACTGCACTCCAGCCTGGGCAACAGAACGAGACTCCATCTCAAAAACAAAAACAAACAAACAAACAGAATTCATCCAAAAAAATGAGAAGTGTCAATAAAAAGATAATATGAAATATCTTAAAATGTATTTTATTAAACTTGCAATTCATGGCTTCTGCTGCTCAAGGAACTGTCAAGCTTGAAACCTTGCAAATACTGCTGTAGCCATAGAAATGCACCATTTTAAAATAAAATAGCAACCTCTTTGGACATCCAGTAAAGTTCTTTCCTCAAGTCCTTCCACCAAATAATGCTTTTTAGGGTGATATGAGAATTTTATGTTCAAGTGTAGAAGAGTCCAACACTGCAGAGACATCATTCAAAACATGTACAAATCACACTATTGCTGAAAACCCCACCATACTAGTCAAAGCTTTTATGGAAATTTTGCCAAATTCCTTAATCAAGTAACACTTTGGGATATTATGTACTGTCAGTGATTTTACAAAGTAAAGTGGCCAGGCGCGGTGGCTCACCCCTTTAATCCTAGCACTTTGGGAGGCTGAGCGGGATGGATCACCTGAGGCCAGGAGTTCGAGACCAGTCTGGCCAACGTGGCAAAACCCTGTCTCCACCAAAAATACAAAAATTAGCCAGGCGTGGTGGTGCGCACCTGTAATCCCAGCTTCTCAGGAGATTGGGGCCAGAGAATAGATTGAACCCAAGAGGTGGAGGTTGCAGTGAGCCGAGATCGCACCACTGCACTCCAGCTTGGGTGCCAGAGCGAGACTCCATCTAAAAAATAAATAAATAACAACTTTTAAAAACTGAAGAGAAATTATTAAGCATGAATTTCCAGCACATATTGTGCTTTACATTTGGATTAAACCACTGATAGGCGGAGTATGAATCAATTTCTCAAATACGTGTAATGTATATATGACATAGAGTGTGGTCAACAACTTTTTATCACTGAAAGCCTGTGGCACAAGAAAAGCCTTTTAAAAAATTAAAGTGATTTTGTGAGCCATGAGAAGAACAGCACAAAATGTGCTGGGATCTATGCCAACAGTACACATAAATTTTTTCTAGCATTTTATTCACAGAGAATAATCAGTAGCCAACAATATGTCTCACAATCTTGATCTAAGGTTGAAAGACACTGTGAAAATTTTTACTATGAGAGAACTGCAGCCAGTATGTGTGTGTGTGTGTGTGTGTGTGTGTGTGTGTGTGTGTTGTATCTTTTCAGTGTGGTATGTTAAGAAAAGGTCAGTGAATATAAAACTCTACTTTTAAAGTTGCACAGAGTGATTCATTAAAAAAAAACAAAACCAAAATGTTCTTTTTTAAAAAAAGTGAGGCATAAAAAGGAAATATTTCTTTGTGATTTAATTACTTCAATTACTTAGAATGGATTGATATGTTTCAAAATTGTAGTCAGTATCTAGAATAAACTGAATCTATCATTTCAGAGCTAAAGGAGTATAATTTATAATATTCAGGACACAATATTAGAATGTCTTAAGAAGACCAAGCCGTGAATAAATTTGTCAATCATTACAGCTGATAATTTTCTTCCTTTGTCAGTGAAAGAAACTAATGATATATTATTGATGATGTTTGAAAAATCACATCCAAATGCTGCCACAGATCACGTAAAAATATTTTCCAGAGACACATTCAACCAAAGAATTGATTGATATTCATCTTTCAAGTTGAAAGATTAGCTGAAAGCTAAAACGTTGCATGTTCTGTGTTTATGTCTAATGAAATATGGACAATAATCTTCAGTGATAAATCTATTCTTTTTGCGTCAATGTTTCATTTGAATATCAATAATTATCTAAATGTTCTTATAAGTATGAATGGGAATCTTCCAATATTGATGGGATAAAGAACAAGGCAGTGTACTGATTGTGGAGCCCGGACATATATCTCAAGCTATTCATTATCAAGCTAGACATAGATAACCTGACTGGTGCCTTGCCTGAAACAGATGCCCGTGAGCTGGTCTGGAAATGCTGAGGAACTGAGAAACACTATTCTAGAAATTCTGACTAGGTTTCTCTTTCTTCTGAAAGCCTCCAACCCTGGACCAGGGAATTTACCCTGAATCACAGATAAATTTGACTCTTGACAAATTTAACAATAGTACTCACTCTTGCCATTTCCTTTTGCCAAGATTGGAACCTCATAACTGAGGTTTGACTCATGACTCAATCTGATTTCTTCTTTTTTCAAGTCTTTATTTTTTAAGAGCAGTTTTAGGTTCACAGCAAAATTCAGAGAGAAAGATACAGAGAGTTTCCATACGCCACCTTCCCCAACACTTGTAGACATTTTTTTTATTTTTTTGAGATGGAGTCTTGCTCTGTCACCCAGGCTGAAGTGCAGTGGTGTGTTCTCGGCTCACTGCAACCTCTGCCTCCCAGGTTCAAGCAATTTTCCTGCCTCAGCCTCCTGAGTAGCTAGGACCACAGGTGCGTGCCACCACACCTAGCTAATTTTTTTGTGTATTTTTAGTAGAGAGGGGGTTTCACCATCTTGGCCAGGCTGGTCTTGAACTCCTGACTTCCTGACCATGATCCACCCACCTCAGCCTCCCAAAGTGCTGGGATTATAGGCGTGAGCCAACACGTGAGCCACGTGTAGACTTTCTATCAGCACAGCCCACCACAGTGGTCCATTGGTTACAATTGATGAACCAACATTAACGTGTCCTAATCACCCAAAGTGCATAGTTTAGAGTTTACTCTTGGTGTGGTCCATTCTGTGGGTCTGGAAAAAATGTATAATGACATGTATCCACCATTATAGTATCATACAGAGTATTTCCACTGCTCTAAAATTTCTCTGTGTGGTCAACTCCCAACACTCCCTCCACAACCCCTGATCTTTTTACTATCTCCACAGTTTTGCCTTTTCCAGAATGCCATATAGTTGGAATCATACAGTGCACAGGCTTTTCAGACTGGCATCTTTTACTTAGTAAAATGTGCATTTAAGGTTCCTCCGTGCCTTTTCATGGCTTAATAGCTCATTTCTTTTCAGAGCGGAATAATATCCCATTGTCAGGATGTACCACAGTTTATGTATCCATTTACCTACTGAAGGATATCTTGGTTGCTTCCAAGTTTTGGCAGTTTTGAATAAAACTGTTATAAACATCCACATGTAGGTTTTCGTGTGGACATAAGTTTTCAACTCCCTTGGGTAAATACCAAGGAGTGTAATTGCTGGATCACATGATAAGAGTGTGTTTAGTTTTATAAGAGGCTGTCAAACTGTCAAATCAAAGTAGCTGTACCGTTTTGCATTCCAACAGCAATAAATGAGAGTTCCTATTGCACCTCATCCTTGCCAATGTTCCAGATTTTGGCCATTCTAATAGCTGTGTAGTGGCATATCATTGTTGTTTTAATTTGCATTTCTCTGATGACATATGATGTAGAGCAACTTTTTATATGTTTATTTACCATCTGCATATCTTTGGTGAGATGTCTGTTAAAGTCTTTGGCACATTTACTAAGCTGGTTGCTTTTTTTCTTATTGCTGAGTGTTAAGTGTTCTTTTTATACTTTGGTTAGCCGTTCCTTATCAGATGTGTCTTTTGCAAATGTATTCTCCCAGTCTGTGGCTTGTCTTCTCATTCTCTTGATACTGTCTTTCACAGAGCAGAAGTTTTCTATTTTAATGAAGTCTAGCCTATTAGTTATTTCTTCCACAGATCGTGCCTTTGTTGTCGTATCTAAAAGTCATTACTATACCCAAGATCATCTAGGTTTTCTCCTATGTTATCTTCTGGGAGTTCCATAGTTCTGGGTTTTACATTTAGGTCTATGATCCACTTTGAGTTAATTTTTGTGAAGGGTATAAGTCTATCTCTAGATGTATTTTTTGCATGTGGATGTCCAGTTGTTTCAGTAACATTTATTGAAAAGACTATTTTTGCTCTGTTGTATTGTACTTGCTCCTTTGTCAAAGATCAGCTGACTATATTTATGTGGGTTTATTTCTGGGCTTTCTATTCTGTTCCATTGATATAGTCATTCTTTCACCAATTCCACAGTGTCTTGATTACTATCACTTTATACTAAGTCCTTCAAGTCAGAGAGTGTCAGTCTTCCAACTTCATTTTTCTCTTTCAATATCGTGTTGGCTATTCTGAGTCTTTTGCTCCACATATAAACTTTAGAATCAGTTTGCCAATATTCACGTAATAAACTTGCTGGGATTTGAATTTGAACTGCATTGAATCTACAGATAAAGTTAGGAAGGTCTGATATCTTGATAACATTGTCTTCCTATTCATGTACATATCTCTCCATTTATTTAGTTCTTTGATGTCATTCATCATTATAGTTTCCCTTATATAGACCTTATGCATATTTTGTTAGATTTTTACCTAAGTATTTCATTTTAAAGGTGTTAATGTGAATAGTCTTGTGTTTTTAATTTAAAATCCCACTTGTTCATTGCTGATATGTAAGAAAGCAATTGATGTTTATACATTAACCTGGCATCCTGCAACCTTGCTCTAATTGCTTATTAGTTCCATGCGTTTTTTGTCAGTTCTTTTGGATTTTCTACACAGACAATCATGTCATCTGTGAACAAAAACAATTTTATTTCTTCTTTCTCAATATGTGTACTCTTCTTTCCTTTTCTTGTCTTATTACATTCATTAGTAATGCCAGTATGATGCTGAAAAGTAGTACAGGAGATATCCTTCCTGATTTTAGTGAAAGAGCTTTAAATTTCTCACCACTACGTGTGATATTAGCTGTAGGTTTTTTGTATTTTTTATCAAGTTGAGGAAATTCATCTCTATTCATACTTTACTGAGACTTTTAATCATGATTGACTTTTGGATTCTGTCAAATGCCTGTTATTCATCTACTTATATGATCATGTAATTTTTCTTCCCTGGCTTACTGATGTAATGGATTACATTAATTGATTTCAAATTGAATCAGCCTTGCACGGCTGGGATAAATCTTACTTGATGGTGTACAATTCTTTTTATGCACTGGTGAATTTGATTTGCCAATATTTTGTTTAGGATTTTTGTATTTATGTTCATGGGAGATATTGGTCTGTAGTTTTCTTTTCTTGTAATGGCTTTTTCTGGTTTTGGTATTAGGGTCATGCTTGCCTCATAGAATGATGTAGAAAGTATTCCCTCTGTTTCTATCCTCTGAAAGAGATTATAGGGAATTGGTACAATTTCTTCCTCAAATGTTTGGTAGTCAATCTTATCTCTTACTGTGCTCAATACCTGGGCCCTTGACACCCTACACTACTGGCCTTATTTGATATCCTAGAGCCAAATGCTTCCAACTTTGGCAGTAAGATAGACTACTCTGTTCTTCTGGATGTGGAACACCCATGTGTCCATTCTGGAGCTCATTGTTAAGAAAGACGTGCCTCTTCTTTACTCCTGATGGCTCTTTCTCTGTGGAGGGAGCTCAACTAGTGAAACACACCTGTACTTAACTATTTTTGTTTATCTGATTTGTGATTTTTGGAGAAGAAATTGGGTATGCATCAGCCAGTGACTTTCTGCTCTGTTTTTTTTTCTTGGGATCATGCCAAACATGAAACAGGGTCTGTTGTCACATGGGCAATCTGGACATGATTCAACACTCCTGTGACATGATGGATATATATGCTTAATTCTAGTACTAAAGATTCTCCTGGCCTGAAGATGTGTTAAACTTATCAATAGCAACTCTTGGTAATAAAGGTGGCATTTTGGTTTTCCCTTTGCTTGTTATTTTTATATCTCTCACACTTAGGTAAATTAAGTTGGAAAAAGAGGTGCTATTATTTAGCTTCTTTCAAACCCCATTGCAAACCTCTATTGCCATATCAGTTTCTGCCACAGCTGTCCAACTTTGGTGATGGAAATTTGCACAGTCTTTCAGCTCAGTCTCTCACTGTTTGGGGAACAATATGCCTGGCTCGTAAAGAAGTGCAAACTATGGTAAGACTGACAATTAGACAATAACCTCTGTCTATGGTGATCTACCCAGTTGAGTGAACATTTAATAACTACCAGCCAGTCCATACATCTCCATCTGGTCCATAAGCTATTAGAGTCCATCTCACAGAGCTTGCTGAAGTCTAAATGCATCCCAGTGTTCTACTTAGCTGGCAAAAGCAACAGAAAAGAAAGTGACACTAAGTTTGTCCTGACCTTTTGTTAGTAAAGGCTACTAAATACATGGCAAAGCTAATCTTAGAAATTTTTTATTACCTCTATATCTGGGATATACTGCATACTCAACAAATGTTTCATGAATGAGTTAACTAATCAAATAAACCTTTGATAACTCCTAATAATTATTTTTAAGTTATAAATATTTATAAGCCATCTTTTTAATGATAATTCCTTCATTCCCCCCCCCCCCGCCATTTTAAACTCATTAATATATATCTAGAATCCCTCCTTTTTTCCTTGTTGGTAAAACAAATCAATATTTACCTTACTCTAGTCTTCCAGCCTAACTCTCCTTCTCCATCATTTCTTAATGAGTAGTAATGTTGACTTCATCAACATGCATGCATTTTATTAATACATTCTGTGCCCTGAGATGTAATTATTCTGGTCCCGGGAATTTGAATTCATTTAAAGCATATTAAACGTTCTCTTATTATTATCTTCTATCTTTAGGGAAGTGTCCTCTTCAAGATAGCTTTTCTACCATTTATAGTTAGGAATTGTTCCCTTTGGCAGTAAAGCAAAGTAGGAATTGAGTCGTTTATTTTTCTTCCTTTTAAGTTTTAACATTCTAACATTTGCCCAAAGACGTGTGCCTTCCTTTGTTTGTTGGTGGTGTTATTTACAACTTTGTCAGCCTCTGCTCTTCCAAGCAACATTCTTTTGGGTTCATGTAATTCTTTGTTGGTTTTTCTTTTTGGCTATGAATCCCATCGTATTCTTTACAAATGCTTAAAGAACAGAATTTAGGAGACACTCTTTGGGGTCACTCCATTTTTCTGAGAGCCCACTGCTAGAGTTAGGGTTTGTGTAACGTCATCATGGTCTTTGACCAAAGTGTGATAGACAAGGGATGGATACATGGGGAATCAGACTCTTTCTCTCAGCAATTTGGAGCTGAGACTGAATTGGCATTTTTAGTCTGGGCTGGCCATTAGAATGGGGAGATTATGAGCTCAGAAGGTGTGACGTGGAATGTAACTGGATTATACAGAAAGAATTATTGAAAGGAGAATGAACAGACGTGTCAAGTGAAGTGGAGACAGCGAATCAGGCTGTGAGAACCTGAGAAAGCTACTTAGCCACTCTGTTTGCTCGTAGATATGATAGGGATAATGCTGCCTATCTTATAGGGTTGTTGTGACAATTAAATTGATTAAAAACATAAAGTTCTTAGAACAATTATAATCATATCATAAGGGAACTAATAAGTGCAAGTCATTTTTATTACCCTTGTTTTTCCCCCAGGCCCTAAACTAATTAAAGAGTAGCACTATGTGTCTCAGAGGGTGAAAGAAGATGGAGGAACGCCTCTGAGACTGTAAGTATGTTGGGAGGAAACAGACTAGGTAAAGAACAGAGATTACATGGCTCATGCCTGTAATTCCAGCACTTTGGGAGGCCCAGGTGGGCAGATCACTTAAGGTCAGGAGTTTGAGACCAGCCTGGCCAACATGGTGAAACCCTGTCTCTACTAAAAATACAAACATTAGCTGGGTGTGGTGGCAGGCGCCTATAATCTCAGCTACTCGGGAGGCTGAGGCAGGAGAATCGCTTGAACCCGGAAGGTGGAGGTTGCAGTGAGCCAAGATTGCACCATCGCACTCCAGCCTGGACGACAGAGCGAGACTCCATCGCAGGAAGAGCAGCACCTCGTGCAGCACTCTAGAGTAGTATCTGAGGATGGGGCTGCACCTCGGAGGGGAAGGCTGCCTCCTTAGTCTGAGAAAGCAGGGCCTGGCTGGCATACTTTGCCAAAGGTTCCTATGCCCAGGGGATGGTGGGTATGACCAACACTGGTAGCTCCTTCCCAATTTTCATTCTTTCCTTCTTGGTTTTTTTTTTTTTTTAGTAAAAGAACGCTAAATCTTTAGCTTGCCACCTATGTAAAAGACTGCACTTCCCAGCCTCCTTTTAGCAAGGTTTGGTTATGTGACCAAGTTCTAGCCAATAAGATGCGTGGGAATAAGTGAAAGCTACCCAAAGTGGGAGCAAACAGGCTGTTTCTTCAGAACTTGCTACAGCAATGAAAGCAGCCACTACCACGTGCATTTGGCAGGGACTCAAAGGCAGGCCAAGGAGTAGGAAAGCTTATCACGAAAAAAAGAGGAAGGCTTCAGGAGTGCTCCTATTGAAGGTTTTTGGCCTGGGGAAGCTGGAGGTGGGCTAACTAGAAATGGGACATGGTGTGTGACTGGACTGGGGAGCATGTTTGGATTTCCCTCGTTGGGCCTGTGTTGGAAGCAGGGGACAAAAACTAGGACAGCTGGCAGTCTTTGAGCAAGCTCTGACAATAGTAGGCCCATTGTTGAAGAGGTTGTGGTTTGGTTGGTTGCTACAGAGGTTGTGGGTCAGAGTTCCATTGTCAGATATGGTCTGGCCATTGTCTATTTTATATACAGTTTCTCCGTGCTAAGCAAATGTGCTACATATCACTGTGGGGACATCTCCTTTCAAAGAAGGGATAGCTAAGGCTATAGACTCCAGAGCCAGAATGACTCAGTTTAAATTCCAGGTCTGCCACTTACAAGCTGTGTGACCCTGAGCAAGTCACCCAACCTCACTGTGGTTCAATTTCCAATTCTTAAATGGGACAATAATAGAACCTGCCTCACTGGGTTGCTAGAAGAAGTAATGAAATAATATGTAAAGCACTTAGGACAGTCTCTGGTCCATAGTACTTACTAGGTTTATTGATAGTATCATTCTTCTTCTCTTTCTCTACTTGGTCTGTAGTTCAAGGTCCTTAAACTATCTTGGACCTTGAAGCAGAATTCTGATGCTGGAGGTGGTGACATAAAAGGAGCTCATATCTAATAATCTCACAGTAACTGTTCCAGCTCTGCATGGTCTACCTGTAGATTTTTTTTTTTTTTTTTTTTGAGACGGAGTCTCACTCCGTCACCCAGGCTGGAGTGCAGCGGCGAGATCTCTGCTCACTGCAA